>NC_000013.11:72347499-72499015 GCF_000001405.40 Homo sapiens
ATGTTGGGATTGGGACTGAAAAAGCATTTAATTTGTTCATTTACTTAGGAGAAAACACATCATTACTATATTAAGTAATCCCCATTATATTTCTTGCTATTAAGGATTTCTTACATTAATTTCATTAAAGTTATCTCTATAGAAAATTCTCACATGACTATTAGATTTGCTTCTAAATTATTTACTGATTGGCTTATTTTCTTATGCAAACTGATTTCCCCCACTTGATCTTGTTGATTCTTAATGGCATATAAGTTACTAATTTTTTTAAAATCTGGCCACCTTATTAAATGATAGTTATTAGTTCTCATAGTTTTCTAGTTGATCTCTGGATTTTCTGCATAGCCAGTTTTAATATTTGCCAACAGTGACAATTTTTTCCTATTACATATTACTTTATTTCCTTGCACCAGTTAGGATGACTACAATATTAAATAGTGCAGTATTAAATAGCAGTGGTATCCTTGTCGTGTTTATGGGAATATTTTTATTATTTCACTATTAAGATATTTGCTCTGTGTATCAAACAAGCCCATATCAGGTTAGGAAATTTCCTTTTATTTCTGGAAAAATTGTTTTTCTTTTTTCATATTGATTTAATTAAATTGACTAATAAATTGTTTTGGTAACTATCAGGATGCTCCTATTTTTCTTATCCCTTCAAAGGTTAGTGTAATTATCTGTATTAGTAAATATGTTAACATTGAAACATATTAAACATATGAATTGCAAAAATAATCTCTACTGTTGATAACGTATTAGTCTTTTAACATGTGGGTAGCTTCCATTTGTTAATATTTTGTTTAGAAATTTTACATTAATCTTTACACTTTAGGTTGCTATTAGATTTCCATTTTCCTTCTAAAATTATGTCTGGCTTTGATATCAGGGCTATGCATTGGTTCTGGAAAGCTGCCAATTCTTCTCTACTTTTGAAAAGTTGAAATATTGGAAGAAGACTTGGCACAACTTGTCTATAGGATTATCTAGGCATTGTAACTTTGTTAAAGGTCACTTCTTTTTCAATTTCCCTTATGATTATTGGCCTATATAAGGTTTTAATACTCTTCCTCATCAATATACTAGGAAATCTTTCATTTCATATCCATTTTCAAATTTATTGGAATGTAGTTGTAAGGAGTATGATTATGTCTTTTTCTCATTTTTAATAATATTCTTATCATTGTTTTTCAACTTTTTTTCCAGAAAGTTTTGCTAATGTTGGTCTAATTTATTTGTCTTTTTGAAGAAATACTTTTTGGTTTTCTTCTTCAAGTTTGTGTTTATTTTTTAATCTCACAAAATTCTGGTTTTACCTATATTATATGTTTCCTTCTACTTTTATTTTTTAACTTATTGAACTGAAAGTCTAGTCACATATTATCAGTCTATTTTAATCTAAGGAATACATATTATCAGTCTATTTTAATCTAAGGAATGCATTCTAAGATTACAGATTTTCCCTTGAATACTATTTTTCAGTTTAAATAAACGCTATTCATTTTTGGAATACATATTTTGATTTCTTATTCACCTCAAAATTTTTTGGAAGGTTGCATTTAAATTCTCAAGTGATTGGATGGGGGAGTGTTATCACTTTATTATTAATATAGACTTTCATTATTTGTCACACACAGAATGTGAATTTTTTAATTCAGAACTGCAAAATTTATATTGCCTTGTGATGTAGTATTTGTGGAGAGTTTTTGTGACTGTCATCATGTTTGAATGAATGTGTATTATTCATTTTTTTATAAACATACTTCTATATGTAAATTAATTATTCAGGTTTTTTATATTTTCAATCATTTCCTTTTTTGCTTTTTTATCTGTAAATTAAAATATGTGGAGTAAAATCTTTCACAATTACTTTTAATTAATAAAATTCTCCTTGGGTTTCAAGCGGTTTTTACTTTTAATATTTCAAAGTTATATAATGAAGTTAATAAATATTTATGGCTACTTACATATTCTTGGTAGATTTTTAACTCTCATCAACATAAAATATGATTTTCATTTGTACCTGTTTTCTTCATTTTGTGTTTGCCCAACATACCTTTTATTCCCTTTCAAATATTCTGCATATTTTAGAAGCAACTCTTGTAAATATTACGTATTTATTGTTTTTTATTTACCCTCTCACATTTATCATGTTTAACTACCTCTGACTTCTTTTATTCTTTAGAAATTTAGTGTTTTTTTCTTTTGCAGTTTCTCTCTGGAATGGGTTTTCTTTGTTCCATTTTTTAAACTCATTTGTACATTTTGTTGATAGACAATTTTCTATGGATCTCACACATTCATGCACATTTTATGAACAAGGACAAGCCCTTTATTCCAAGCTATCTTTTAAAGGATGTTTATATGGTGAACATTCTAAGATGATAGAGATAGTACCTCTTCTCCAGAGCCAAGGGCAGCTTTGATTGCCGCATTAGAGGGTAGAGATAGTGTTTCCCTCTTAAGCAAACTGTAGACACATTTACTTCCCATTTTAAAAGAATCAGGTATCCTAAGCTCATGATTTCTCTTCTGTAATTCAATCAATTGCATGTATCTCTGCAATGTGTCATCTGGTCCTCCTCTTCATGTCACCATCTGGCAACTGGAGCTCAGGTACCCCAGAGCAAATTGTTTATTTTACTTGCTTTGAGTAATAAAGTCCTTTGTCTCTGAGCAATGAGTTTTGTGTCTCCTACCAGCATCTATGAAACTGTGGCAGGCCAATTTGTTAGCCTGCAAATAAGGTAACATCTCAGATCCTTCACAGTTCATGGCAGCTTGTACCTGCAATTTCTAATCCCCTACTGTAATATTCCTAACATAAGATGTGGCTCTTGTCCATAGGGCCACTCTTGTGACTAATGGGGACATCTTGGGTATGTTCTCTTGAGGTTGAATGCCCATTAGCACCACCAGATCTTCTTAGGCTAGCATCAAACGGACTGCAAGAGTATGTGTGAATTTGAAAGTATGAATTGGCAGGAATGGGAAAGTTCAGAAACATTAAGAGGGAGACAGCACTGGAGTGGGTAAGGCAGGAGGTGACGATTCCACACAAGAAGCTGAATATATCCTCAGAGCAGCAGTGGTATTGTGGCACGCTAAGAGCCCTGGAGCCTGGACACCTTGAGGTCTTACATTTTCCAAGCTAACCAGGAGTCACAGGGCTCCAGAAGAGGGCAGGGGCCCAAGTCCAGCCCTGGTTTGGTTTCTCATCTTAGGCATGGGCATAATAACTGATTTGGACCTGAATGAAAATCCATGCTGAATTCCAGACCTCCTTTGTGAAAGCTTGTATGACTTGAAACACCCATGGTTTGTGGTTCTATTAGTAGGCTAATAACAACTTTAAATCTAATTAGAGAGCCTCTGGTGTGAGAAGGGCAGCCTGGGTTCCGCTTACTGTAGAAAATGAAGCAGATAATAGCTGAAGAACAGAAATGTAAGCTGAGTATGAGTAAGAAAAAAACAGCCCCAAATTACTGGTTAAAATTTTTTAAAAGCTAGCCCTATATCTGTCCATGTGGCACAGACCAAGGCAAGAGTTCCTGACAGAAAATCACCTGAACCAGCAAATCCTGACTCACTGCTTTTCCTCAGAGGCAGATAGCCCACGAAGGTGCTAATGCCAAACCCAGGGGTCCACACCAGAGTCAAAGTATTAAGAGGAGATGCCTGGCACCAGCTCCTGCTGATGCTAAGGGAGACTATCTTGCTTTGAGCTTATGAAAAAGCAGTGACTGGCAAAGACTGGTACCATTAACCAACACTGGATGGGCTGAGCATTCCATGGCTCAGTGGCTCTACAGGTTTCCATGTTGATGTGTCCTAAGGCTCTGAAACACACATCCTGCCAAGTATAGACTCTCCCTCTGTGCTTTTTCTGTTCCCTGTGCTTATACTGCTACTTGTGTGGGTACTAAAAGCCCCTGCTAGTTTCTAAGCCTACTAGATTGCAGGACAAAAAGCAGAAAGACAGCAAGGATTGGAGCAACTGAACAGATCACCGGTCCAAATATGAGAAATGAAATGAACCTCTCTCTCTTGCTGCCTTTGGAGGTAAATGTTTGAAGCCCTCTTCACTGCAGCAGCTGCTTGCTGTGAGATGTATGAACACAAGTGTCTGCAACCTTTGCCTTTAGAATGGTTGACCAAAACTTGGCTTTGGACATTTTGGGCTGAAGAATAGGGGCCAAGAATGCTGGACAGTGGTAACTGCCTGTAATCCCAGCACTTTGGGAGTCAGAGGCAAGAGGATTGCTTGAGACCAGGAGTTCGAGACCAGCCTAAACAACATAGCAAGACTCTGTCTCTACAAAAGAGAAATTAGAATAATTAAAAAAATGAAAGAACAGGGGCCAGGGAATCGTGCTAAATTGTTAATGGTGATTGTTAGAAAAGGCAGCCATAGAAATGAAGGGGTAGATTGAGACAGTACATAAACTATAATTACTTCTTTTTTTCATTACTGTAGCCATCACTATTGGATCTGTGGGACTGGATCTCATTGCCCATCTGAGAAAATGGTAAGCTCTGGGCCGGATACAATAACTACTGCAAATTTTGAGCTTACTTTTCTTCCAAGATGGCTCAAAAAAATCCTCTTTCATTTCATACTTGCCACAGCAGAGGTGAAAGCAGAGATGATGAGGGTGGATGGTGACTGTTCCATACTCTTGGGAGACAGAAGAAGGCACCTTTAATGTAAACTTTATTACTGCTATTGAAGCAGGATATTTCCCTCCTTTGTGGGACTCATGACAGGGGTGCCTGGTTTACTCAGCCCACCACTCTCAACTCCTCATAGGAGGGAGTGCAGGAGTAAACAAGGCAAGAACTGGAGTGCACAAGCACTGGAATCGGCCAGCCACTTCAATGCTGGTGAGATCAAAGTTCACTAGCTCAGACCCTCTGCATTCCACCCCTCACAGGAGGGAGCACACAGGTGAGTGGGTGCAGAAATCAGGGCAAGTGCTTTTAGGCACTGGCAGGAGCAAACTTTGTGAGGGCCATGTAGCAGTGTCTAGGTGGGGGTGCTGTGGCCCTCAAAGCCCCTAAGGGCATGTTATAGTGCTCTTTTAGTTCTGCCATCCATGGATGGCTTAAGTGTTAATAGCTCAGTGGGCCCTCTGCCTTTTAGCATAGGGCAGCTGCCCTCCACCGGCAAGGGCAAAGATCCAGTGTGACAGCATTTTGTATCAGTATTCATGGCTCCCAAGCTCTTGTCTGGCATCCAGGAAAAATGAGGTTGCCTGAATGAATTGAAGGATGGTAAATGTGGGGGATTTTATTGTGATGAAAGTGGCTCTCATCAGTAAGGGGAGCTGAAAAGGGGACAAGGCAGGTAAGTAATCTTCCCCTGAAGTGTGGCCATCTCTAGCTAGATTCTTCTCCAAAGTTATGCCATTAAGCTGTCCCTCTGAACTCAAGACACTTCTCTCTGATGTCTAGCTGTAGTCCTGTTTACCAGCTGAGTCTGAGGTTTTTATAGGCACAGAATGGGGTGTAGTGGGACCATGGGTGGTTTAGGAAAAAGGCAACATTTGAATGGGAAAACTGGAATATAAGTTCTCACTTTGGGCCATGGTTTCAGGCTTTTTGGCTTAAGGATGGGATTTTGCCAGGGACCTACCTTTTTCTGCCTAGAATTTCTCTGCCCCCTTTCCCTATCATTATGCCAAAATCTCCCTGCAATATTCAAAATTTCCAATATTTGGATTCATGTATCTATAAATTAAGTTTGAATTTATTTCAGAACACAAAGGGGACATTTTTCAAAGGGACTGTATAACCATGATCAGAAATGAGCTGAAAAAATTGTAAAGAAATTAATTACAAACCAGAGATACAAATTTTCTCCTTGTTTTTTTTTTTTTTCCAGTTGTGTTTAATTGTTTGGGTTTGATTTGCAGAACAGGATTGCCTCTGCTTCAAATGTAGTTGTTTTCCATATTTTTCTCATTTGATATGATCTTGGGAAAAAAATATAGATATCCCTTAAGAGAGACAAACAATTCATGTCATGAAAATGGGCTGTATAAAACTGTAATAAATACATATTCAAAGGCATAAATATATGGTAACACATTGCAGCTAAAAATCAAATATGTGGTAGGATTTCACTAGGGATAGAAAAAGACTGCATCAAAAGCAATTTACCCTTTCTCTAAAGGCCTCAAATGCCCCACATTCTCAATTCACACATCTTGCCTTCTGGACCACTTTTGACATTAAGAATTGGTAATATTTTCATGTGTTCTTGTTTTAAAATCGTGGTGTCCCTTCTAGGCAGGTGGGCACAAATCCATATCTCTTAGAGTAATAGCTATTGCCTCACTTTCTCTAAATGCCCAAGACAGGAATTTACATCTTTCTTCTCAGGATGTACAGAATAGATTTCATCTCCCACTCCAAATGAAGTTTTATCTTTCTGTCCACAGTGACACTCAGAGGAAAGCTAAGATCACTTTGCTTTTCATGTTTTTCATGCATTTATGCTTTTCTCAAAGATAAATCTTATCAATACCTTTTAAAATACAACTCACATAATGAAACAATTCTTTTGGCATAACTTCACGTTACAAGTTCTACAATCTTTCAATCAGACACCAAATTCTAGGAAATTGCAGTTTAGGTGAGGGCTAGGGATAAAGAAAGCAAAGAAGAACAAAGACCTTTATACCAATAAGGCAAAGGACTTTGGTCTGCAGCCAAGTAGGATCTTGCTGAGGATTCATCCCTTCAGTTGCACCTGCATCACTTCCTCTGTATCTTGTTTTTTTCCTGAACACTAAGCTACCCAGACTTCAACTAAGTAAGCTAATTATGTGTTGCCTTTCCCACTGTATTCATCCATTCTCACACTGCTATAAAGAACTATCTGAGACTGGGTAACTTATGAAGAAAAGAGATTTAATTGGCTCACAGTTTCACACGCTGTACAGGAAGCATGGCTGGGAGGCCTCAGCAAACTTACAATCATGGCAGAAGGCAAAGGGGAAACAAGCACGTCTTTATGGCAGAGCAGGGGAGAGAGGGAGAGTACAGCGGGGAAGTGCTACACATTTTCAAACAACCAGATCTCATGAGAACTCTATCACAAGAACACCAAGAGAGAAGGCCACCCCCATGATTCGATCACCTCCAACCTGGCCCCGCTTTCAACACATGGGGATTACAATTCGACATGAGATTTGGGTGGGAACACAGAACCAAACCATATCACCCACTAAGTAATAAATTCCAAGTTTATGCCTGGCTCAAAAGTTTCACCTCCATGGCTGGATCATAAGGTTGTACTGAAAAATTGAATGAAGTCATTTAAGTAAGACTCTTAACACAGTGCCACATAGGGGTTAGTCACTGTCATTATCATCATTATTGTTATGGTTATTATTATCCTATATATCTCTTGGTTTGTAGTGTTCGTTTTCTTAGCTCTTTATTTCTATTATATACTAACCTTTAAAAATCGACCAAATTTTTCTTTTCTTTCAAATTTCCAGGGGGAGGAAGAAATTCTTTTAAAAGATAACCTGATATTTTGTTGCATATGATCCAAAAAAATCACCCCATAATTTCAGTTTCTCAATATCTCATCATTCCATGAGAAATCAGCCTTATCTCTTCACATGGGAAATATTCATCATTGTATTCAAATAATGACAGATGGATGAATGTTGCAAACAGCTTAAATTTGATATTAAATGTTTTCTCAAAGAAATGAAGCAGAGAAAAAGTAGTAAAAGTAATCAGTAAGTAGAATAATTAATTGTCCCTAAAAACTTTGTTGCTTAAGTAGCAAAAGAAACAAAATTCTACACTTTGTTGAGAAGAACTTCTGTTGAATAAAACTTAATAAGCTAATGGGAAAGTGATCTGGAAGTCAGAGAAAAGTTCACTCCAAAAAGATAGAACGCATTGCACTTTACCTATTTGAAGAAAATACCTATGGAATGAATTGAAATACAGTCCACTTAGTCTTTGTGCTGTTATTTAGGAAAGAATCTGAAACAGACGTGGGTGCCAGGTGACAATCTTGTGTATTGGTTAATTGTACCACCTTTAAATTCAGAGAGCCATTGATTCTACTAGCTCTCTACTTATTGTCTCCATCTTGTAATAACTAAAGTTGGACAGGCTACTTAATTTCTATGTGCCTAAACATCCTCATCCATAAGATAATAATAGAATTTACCTTACAAAGCCAATTTGAAAATAAAATGGAATAATTCATATGAGTTGATGAGAGCAGTGTCTGTCCTATCATAAATAATAAATATTATCTATTGTTATACCCTGGCTCCTTTTCAGTTTTATAAAAATAATTAGATGTTTTAGGAGCATGAAATTACTAGCTTTCCAGCTAAAATGTTCTCAAATCTACAAAATACAGAGCTACATAAACATGAAACCACTTTTGATAGTCAGTCATAAAAACTTGGACTCAGACTTCTCTTTTTTTTTTTTCTTTAATTGGATCTTGGGTTCAGAGTTGAATTAATCATTATCCTCAGTTCATGACCCACTAAGACCTTACCAGGTCCCTCTCTTGTCTCATTTCATTTTTATTTTCCCCTTTGTTCTTCATCTCTACTCTCCTTTCTTTCCTAGCTATCCAACACACACACACACACACACGCACACAAATATACATGATATATTTATATATATAAATGTAGGTTTGAAAAGATGTCAAGTTTTATGTATGTATGGTTTTTAGTCTACATAGATATTATATTACAGATCTTAATCACCCACATATATTTTATTCAACATTATACTTATAAAATCTGCTTATTTCTGTGTATACATTCAGTTCATAGTCTCTGACTGCTGCAGTGTTCCATGCATCCATATGTACATCTGGCAGATTTATGAGCTTTGCTTATATATTTGAAATACTAATTTCAAAATAGATTTAGATTTTGCAAATAGTTTTTTTATGGTCTCATATCCACATGTTGACCACGTCGTTATCATTGAGCAAAAGATCTTATTTTTATGTAGCCAAACCATCTATTATTTTCCTTTATGGCTTCTGTTCTGGAGTTATTATATAAGCAGTACTCTCTGCACCTCCAGCCAAAGTCACAAAAAAATTTTATATTTTCTTTCAATGGCTTTTCAAAATGAGCAAAGACAGGCACTAGTTATAGTAGCAAGAACAGATTTTAGTCAGTGATACTGTTGCAATAGGGAAGAGGATCCAGTGTGAACTGAACTCAACTTTGCCAAAACAGAAGCCTGAAGACTTTTGAAAGGCTAGGGTGTACTAAGGGAAAGGCACTATGGGGTGTGCAGGAGAGTTAGCTCATGGGAGTAGGACATCTGGACTTGTTAGCTTGTGTTTCTCAGGAGGAAAAACACACTTCTCCAATACTTATGATACCATGCAGTGGTGCACCTAGAAGCAAGACATCTGTCTTAGTCTATTTTGTGCTACTGTAACAGAATACATGAGACTGGGCAATTTACAAATAATAGAAATGTATACTCTCATAGTTCTAGAGGCTGGGAAGCCCAAGATCAAGGCACCAGCATCTGGTGTGGGCCTTGTTACTGAGTCCTCACATGGCAGAGGACAGAAGGAAGGTTAAGAGAGAACCTCTGTGTCTTAATAGGCAGAAGAGAAAAAGAGAGCAAACCCATTCCCACAAGCCCTTTTATAAAGTCAGTAATCCTTCCATAAGGGTGGAGCCAAGAAAAAAAGACATGTTGAGTTTTTACGTATGTATGGGTTTTTTGCTCTGTATGAAATTTAAAGTAGTTTTTCCTAATTCTGTGAAGAAAGTCAATGGTAGCTTCATGGGGATAGTATTGAATCTATAAATTACTCTGGACAGTATGGCCATTTTCACAATATTGATTCTTCCTATCCATGAGCATGGAATGTTTTTCCATTTGTTTGTGATCTCTCTTATTTCACTGAGCAGTGGTTTGTAGTTCTCCTTGAAGAGGTCCTTCACATCCCTTGTAAGTTGGATTCCTAGGCATTTTATTCTCTTTGTAGCAACTGTGAATGGGAATTCACTCATGATTTGGCTGTTTGTCTATTATTGGTGTATTGGAATACTTATGATTTTTGCATATTGATTTTGTATCCTGAGACTTTGCTGAAGTTGCTTATCAGCTTAAGGAGATTTTGGGCTGAGACAATGGGGTTTTCTAAATATACAATCCTGTCATCTGCAAAGAGAGACAATTTGACTTCCTCTCTTCCTATCCGAATATGCTTTATTTCTTTCTCTTGCCTGATTGCCCTGGCCAGAACTTCCAATACTATGTTGAATAGGAGTGGTGAGAGAGGGCATCCTTGTCTTGTGCTGGTTTTCAAAGGGAATGCTTCCAGTTTTTGCCCATTCTGTATGATATTGGCTCTGGGTTTGTGATAAATAGCTCTTATTATTTTGAGATACGTTCCATCAATACCTAGTTTATTGAGCGTTTTCAGCATGAAGGGGTGTTGAATTTTGTCAAAGGCCTTTTCTGCATCAATTGAGATAATCATGTGGTTTTTTTTATTGATTCTGTTTATGTGATGGATTACATTTATTGATTTTCATATGTTGAACCAGCCTTGCATCCCAGGGATGAAGCCAGCTTGATCATGGTGGATAAGCTTTTTGATGTGCTGCTGGATTTGGTTTGCCAGTATTTTATTCAGGATTTTCACATCGATATTCATTATGGAAATTGGCCTGAAATTTTGTGTGTTTTTTTTGTTGTGTCTCTGCCAGGTTTTGGCATCAGGATGATGCTGGCCTCATACAATGAGTTAGGGAGGATTCCCTCTTTTTCTATTGTTCAGAATAGTTTCAGAAGGAACGGTACCAGCTTCTCTTTGTACCTCTGGTAGAATCTGGCCATGAATCTGTCTGGTCCTGGACTTTTTTTAGTTGGTAGGCTATTAATTACTGCCTTAATTTCCGAACTTGCTCTTGGTCTATTCAGGGATTCAACTTCTTCCTGGTTTAAACTTGGGAGGGTGTATGTGTCCAGGAATTTATCCATTTCTTCTAGATTTTCTTTTTCAGATATTTTTATACAGGTTTTTACGTTTCTTGTTTCCTCCAAATCTCATTTATTCTTTTATATTTCCATCTCTTTGTTTCTTCCTCAGGCCTTCTTTCAGAGTTCTTCAATCTGATTTTCTAACTCTTTAGTGTTCCCCCCCCCGCCCCCCGCAGGATCTTGATCTGTCACCAGGCTGGAGTGCAGTGGCATGAACGCGACTCACTGCCGACTCAGCTTGGGCTCAAGTGATCCTCCCACATCAGCCTCCCGAGTAGCTGGGACCACAGGTGTGCACCACCATGCCTGGCTCATTTTTGTATTTTCTGTAAAGAAAAGGTCTCACTATCCAGAATCTACAAATAAACAAATTTACAAGAAAAAATCAAACAACCCCATCAAAAAATGGGCTAAGGATATGAAAAGAAGACGTTTATGCAGCCAACAGACACATGAAAAAATGCTCATCATCACTGGTCATCAGAGAAATGCAAATCAAAACCACAATGAGATACCATCTTACACCAGTTAGAATGGTGATCATTAAAAAGTCAGGAAACAACAGGTGCTGGAGAGGATATGGAGAATTAGGAACACTTTTACACTGTTGGTGGGACTGTAAACTGGTTCAACCATTGTGGAAGACAGTGTGGCGATTCCTCAAGGATCTAGAACTAGAAATACCATTGTACTCAGCAATCCCATTACTGGGCATATACCCAAAGGATTATAAATCATGCTGCTATAAAGACACATGCACACGTATGTATATTGTGGAACTATTCACAATAGCAAAGACTTGGAACCAAGCCAAATGTCCAGCAATGATAGACTGGATTAAGAAAATGTGGCACATATACACCATGGAATACTATGCAGCCATAAAAAATGATGAGTTCATGTCCTTTGTAGGGACATGGATGAAGCTGGAAACCATCATTCTCGGCAAACTATCACAAGGACAGAAAACCAAACACTGCATGTTCTCACCCATAGGTGGGATTTGAACAATAAGAATACTTGGACACGGGGTGGGGAACATCACACACCAGGGCCTGTCATGGGGAGGGGGGAGGGATAGAATTAGGAGATATACCTAATGTAAATTACAAGTTAATGGGTGCAGCACACCAACATGGCACATGTATACATATGTAACACACCTGCATGTTGTGCACATGTACCCTAGAACTTAAAGTATAATAATAAAAATAATAATAATTAAAAAAAAAAAGGTCTTACTATGTTGCCCAGGCTAGTCTTGAACTCCTGGGCTCAAGCAATCCATCCACCGTGACCTCCCTAAGTGCTGGGATAACAGGCAAGAGCCATTGCACCCAGCCCAGTTTGTTTTTCTGCTGTGCCACACTGCTATTTTATACCTCTGCTGAGTTATTTCAACTGAAGTATTCATGTATCCAATATCTCCAATTGATTTTACTCTATAGCTGCTTATTCCTGTTTCATACTTCTAATATCTCTCTATTTGGGGGAATATTTACCAGACTAGTTTAAAAATCTTGTCTGTTTTGTCCTTTTATTCTAATTCAACTGGTTTCATTGTTTAATTTGCTCTCTTTTTTCTGTTACAATGCTTGCAACTATCCAATGTCTATTTTTCTTGGGAGAGCAGTCTGAGTATATCAGCTATTGAAAACCTAGAGAAGGGTCTGTGCCTGTCCTGGTAAGGAAAGGGAGTAGGTACAACAACGTAGACTTCTGTTTTCATTACCACTGGGTGAACCTGAATCTCAAACCTTAGTGAACCTCTCTGTACCCACACGCTCCTTTCCAAGAGTTGCCTTCCTTAACACAATCTCTTGCCCACAGACAGATGTTTGGAAGGCAATGGGAGAGGAAAGCTGTTCAGGGTCTGGACTACCCCACTGGATCTGTTTTTGCCCGGCTCCAGCGTCATCCTGGTGTTACGCCACACCAACACCTCACACTGGCTCTGATGTGCTTCTGTTGTTTTCCACATTACATTAAGGACACAGCACACCACACTCAACCCAGAGCAATGTGTGGTATTGCCAACTGATTTCTACACATTTCCATGAATTTCCTAAAGGTATCTGTGGTAGTGAGAAAAGAGGCTTTTTAATTTTTTAATCTCCATAATCAATTGGATGGCTAATTTTCTATTTTCTTCAGGCTAAATTTAACCTAGTAATTTATGAACACCTTTCCACAAATGTCAGTGTAAGCGATAAAAACGAAGCAGTGTGCACAGAATTGTCTTCAGAGCAAGTGTAGGGCAATTATAACATGAATACTGCAATACGGTTTTCCCTTCACACCTCTGGCTATGTATTTTTTTTGGCATTTTTTTTTTTTTAGTGGCTTCTCCTTCATCTCAAGAGTTTCCTCTTCTCACTCTATGCGTTCTCTTCAGCTGGATTTAATCATTACTTATCTTTTACCTGCTTTCTGTAATATGTTGACTAATGGGTTTCCTCAGCCCAGCACAGTGATCTAAACTCTATCTCGTATCTACATCTGCCTATTTAAGACATCTTTGCTGAAGATCTCAAGCAGGACCAGCTTCATGGGCATGCAACTTTTGCAATCACAAGGGACTCATGCTGGCTTCATCTTGAAATTTAAACAATGGCCCTGCAAATGACACAGCCAGTCCTCATCTCAAAGTGATGTTAAGTATAACATGCCTACATCAACTTTCTCCCCTAAAACTTCTCCTTTTTCAATGTCTCCCCTGCACCAGGTCAATAAAGGACAGCTTTTCATTCAGATTCCCTTGCTAGCACACAGGACTAATCCCCCTTGGTCCCTGCCTATTCCTCATATAACAGACTATCAATCTTCAGGAATTCTGAATTTTTCCTAAGCAACTCTATGCATCTGCTTCTTTGTTACCACCTACATCAAATGAGCTTCTTCTATAGTCTAAACTGCAGTAACTGCATACCTCACCTCCTCACCTGTACTTCTAGTGCCCTGTTTCATGCTCCTACATTCTCTTCCCTGTAGGTGCAGTGATCAGTGGTCTTTCAGTAAAAAGAGGTTTACAATCTAAAGGGAATATAGAAGACAAAGATCACTGTAAAATGAGATAGTCTGGAATACATATTAGATAGATGAATAAATAATACACTGTAGCACCTGAAAGGAAGATATCTCTAATTGTGACTGATGAGGGGGAGGGTTCAGGAAAGGGAGGATGTTTATTTTAATATTATAAGGTTTCAATATATTCATTTAAAAGATATTTTAAGTATTTTATCTAAACACCTTTTCTTCTTAAGAAAAAAACCCAGTGTCTAATCTAGATTCCTAATGGTGATTAATTTTATATACCAGATACCAACCACTTAAAATATGTCTTTCCACCAATCTTTCTCCTACAATTCATTCTTACATTGTTGCAAGATTTTACTTTCCATAACATAGATTATGCCACTTTGCTGCTTAAATACTCCCACAATGAGTACACGATGAAGTCCATCCTCATTAGAGTAGCATGTATGCCTTTCCACCAATGGATTTCAGCCTCCTTTCCAGCCTCTTCCCAGCTCCTTGTTGGTGCCTCCATACATTAACCATTGTAGTAACATTCTGTATTAACCACTGCATATCCAAGAAAAATGCCCTGCTCATTTTCATGGCTAACTCTCCATGGGCTGTTCTCTATCCTGGAGTGTCTTTCTTATCTTTATCTATCTGGCAAGCTCCTACTGTCTTTTAAATTTTTTCTCTTGCACCACATTTCTCTCTGCCTCTCTCAGCCATCACCCACCTGAGGAAACAAATTGCTCCTTCAATGATGTTCTATAATATTATACTAATATCTCGATTATAGTATTTATTATATTGCATATTGTCAATTTTAAGATGTGCTTTTTAAAATTTTACATTTTAACATCTCTGAAATCAAGAGGTCTCTTATAATGGCAAAAGTGTTATTATTTGGCATAATTTTTCAGTGTCAAATAAAATAATGATGCATCTTACAATTGAGGGTGTCTTAGACTACATGAAATATGGTAATTCTTTATTATGAGTCTTCCTCTCCCTGTAGACTGTGAATGCCCATGTATGGCAATACTCTTATTCACATAATGCCTAATACATAGGTATCCCATAAATTTAAAATTGTCTAATTGAGAGGGTGGTACACTAAAGCATAGAAGGTAGAAGAAATACTAAAAAAGAGCATAACTTTTGTGGATTCTGCGTAATGTCTGTGGATTCTAACATGAATTTTCCTGCTTTGATATTGTACTATAATTGTGTAAGATGCTACCATTGACAGAAATACAGTTAAGGCTACATAGGATTTCGTGATATTCTATTTGGCAATTTCCTGTGAATCCAGAATCATTTTAAAACAAAAGTTTTAAGGTAAAAAATTACATATAAACTACACACAGAGAGAGATACACTATATATAGGCTCTAAATATATATAATATATGTATTATATAATCTAAAACCTTTATATATAGTATATGACATATATGATTTATATATGTATCATATATATGATATAGATGATATAAATATATGATATATATATTTATATATAATCTAAAGCCCTTTTAGTAATTAATTCACAGAAATCCATTTTAAAAGACAAAATAGTTTTGACATCATTGTAGACTGAAATCAGTGTCATGTAAGTGCTCAATAACTAGTTATGATTACAATTTTACTTGTTATTGACATGACCTTGACCGACCAAAGTTACCTTGTTCATGTAATTGGCTAACAGAATTCATAGGGTGCCTATTCAGAGCCTCTCAGCATTACCAGATAGTCTCTATTCCTTGATTCTATGACTTTTTTGTGCCTCTCAAAAAATAAGTAATGCCACTTTTAATTTAAAAAAAAGTGGTCCCATCACATCTCAGTAGTGAAAATTCACAGTCTGTGTCATAGTTAAAAGTCCAAATCTCATTTAATGTTAAAGCTTTGTGCACTGGTTGGAACTGCTGCAAAAAGGGGGCCAGTGACTTCTTTTCTGTTTACTAACCTTTTATTTATATCCTTTGCCCTCTTTTCCCTCCAAAATGCTTCTGGATTTCTAGGTTAGTGGGGGAGACAGAGCAGGTAATAGGTAGGAATGGGTTTTACTTGACTGACAATAAGGCAAATGGCGATGGAGACTTCTGAGGTTGGACAGTTTTTAAAGTCAACACTCTCCGGACTCTGCACATGGGCAAAGCTGACTCTTCCTCACTGGCACCTTAGTGTGTTTCTCAGGTGTGGGGCTTCCTGGTAGCTCTCTTGGCCAGGACAATGTTTTCTGTGAAATGCTGAACATAGCTATCCCTCAGTAAAGCCCAGTTTCTCTCTCTTTACTCTGCCTCTTGCCTTTGAGCACTCACCTAAGTCAACACCAGCCCCTCAATTTCAGGATCATTGTCAATCTCCTCAAATAATCTTCTCAAAACCCTGCCTCTTACAAGGCTATGGGTAAGGGAGAAGAGGTCCTCCCTTTGAGGGTCAGGAAAACTGAAAATGTCACACTACTTTAACATTTTCCAAAGATTAGCCTCTTTACTCTCCCACTTTGACACTTTTCATATTTTTGAAGTTAGTATTGGCTGAGGCTTATAATATTTGTGGTCTTCCAGCTCCCTTACAAGTCCTGCACTGTCCTAATTTCTCCATCATCTGGGGTATAAGGGCCTTGGCCAAAATGTAGGTAGAAATATTCCCATATTTATAGCCACCTCATCAATGTATTATATGAAAAAAGGCATGAAATTTTAGATATCAAGAAATTCCTTTTCTAATAGCAAATGATTTTTCAGGACAAATGATTGTTAAAATAATAACCAGGAACTTTAGAAGATCAAAATCTTTCTTTCCAAATCATGTCATGTATTAGTTTAGGATACTTCATCATTTTAATGTGTTCAAGAACATCTATATTTCTGTCAAATATGAAGTGAGAAAGCTTCAATGGAAAATTAAATAAAATTACATCAAATAGTGTTAACAAATATGTACGTGATAATACAAGTTACTAATACACTTTAGCTAATATTCTACTTCAAGCACTGTTATTAAAAAGAATATGTCCTCAACAATGGTACCCCACTGATATTTTAAAATTTGAGATGTAAACATTAAACATGTTTTAAAACATGCCAAATAAAGTCTATGTATTCATATATTTGTGGATGAGTTCACATCTATTTCTGCAAAGGCTCGTGTATATGTGTGTGTGTGTGTAAGTTTGTGTGTGTGTGTACGTGTGTGTACTTTACTCCTAAGGTATACTGATTTTTTAAGATACCTCTCTGAAGTGGCTTTGTATAATTTTGATGATCTTGTTTAATAAGGCATTTAAAAATAAAACAACAAATCTGAATAAAATATCCACTCTTTAAAGTCTAAGTCAAAGGCTACACACATGGAAGGCTGAAAAATAACCAGCTTTTAAATTCTGTCCTTTCAACAATATAACTGCACTTTCAAATGTGCTTTGTTGTTTTCTTTTAATTCACTAAAATTAATCTTATAGATGTAGATGCCAGATTTGCATTAATTAAAACTCTACTGTAGAAGCCAGGCTTAATTGCAATCAAATTTGCTTAATTATGCATGGCGAGAGATTCCCAAACGAGAAAGGTTTTAGTAAGGATTTTGGTTTTTTGCATTGACAAAATAAATTGAAATTGTCATTTTTTTGTGTTTTATGTAACACTTGTAAATAATTTGTGGAGCACCTTAAGTCTTCTATGTAAAGCAATGTTATTGCTTAAGTAATTACAACAATCTGCATTTTTCATTGTTAATTGTGGGTGTCAGACTCATTAATTTTAATTTACAGACTGTAATGAAATTAAGAAAATTTTGTGCTGATCTGCTGAAACTTGTCTTACAGGAAGTTGTTTAATACAACTAAAGTTTTAAAAAGTCAAGCCTCATTTTTATAATTTGTACTTTAACCAATACAATCATTTTACAACAGTTTTTCAGGAAAATTTGGCTTCAATACAAAAAGACAAACTATATGAACAATTTTGGCTTAAAACAATTATGTTTCATGTACAGCAATATTTTAAACTATAATTTATATTTAATTTAAAATTATATTTTCTGGTTAAAGAAAATCTGCAAACATTAGGAATATAGTTTCAATTTTATTTTGTCTGTTTTCTATAGGGGATTATGTTGTTGGAGGAAAAAAATGTTACACAAAGACAGACACAATCGAAAATCAATTTAATCATTCTTAGATCAATAGATTATCAGTGCATTATTTAACACAGTTCAATGAAAATTATCCATGGTTATTTTGTCTCAGATATCTGTCATATGTCCATAGCTTTAAATACTACATCTGGAATCTCACCTAGTTTTTCAAATGTAATTGAAAACAAAGTAATTCATTTAAAAATTAGTAAAGCATACAATTTAAATAAAGTTAATGACAAGGAACAATGTAAATCTTTTTTATTTTCATGTTAAGACATTGAATTTTGTCCTTGAAAGCTGTTTAAACTTTAACTGGTATAAGTATTAATATAATAATATAATGGAAACAAAATATCTTTCATGCTTATTTAGTAGCAAGTTAACTTTTAGGGAAATTAGCTAAAGAGCCTTCATCTCAATTATTATTCATCTAATTAAAAATTCTAAAACGATTACTATAATTCTGCTTAAAACCAAGCATGAAACTTTGGTAGTAAAAAACACAATTGTTGAATGTCTTAAGAAGAAAATGACAAAGTGAAGATTATTCCATAATTAAAGCTAACCTTTAATTACTGGTCTTTTAAAATCAAGTTATTCTGAAGAGGTAAAATAAATCATCAAAAGGGTCTTGGCAGTGCATCACTGCATGTAATACTCTTCTACATGTTATTGGTGGTGGCTCAATTTTTTTTTCTCTTTATTAACTCAAGAGACATAATAGAAGCAGGGAATGCTTAGGCAGAATACCAAATACACAGATAAATAGGTACCATGCATCTAAAGGAGTTTTCCCATAATTTATAAACAATAAGAAGACAATATAGTCCAGTGTTCAACAATTTAATAGAGAAAATTTAGAAGAGTAATTTTTCCTCCAAAACTCTCATTTGAGGACTACTTTTGTATTTTATTTACCCTGATATAAGCCTCAAACTTTGTTAATTTTTTTTATTTATTCACAAGAACATTTGATTACTATTCTTTTTTTTTTTTTTTTTTTTTTTTTGAGACGGAGTTTTCTTCTTGTTGCCCAGGCTGGAGTGCAATGGCGTGATCTCGGCTCACCGAGATTCCTGCCTCAGCCTCCCAAGTAGCTGGGATTACAGGCATGTGCCACTATGCCCAGCTAATTTTGTATTTTTAGTAGAGATGGGGTTTCTTCATTTTGGTCAGGCTCGTCTCGAACTCCCAACCTCATGTGATCCGCCCGCCTCAGCCTCCCAAGTGCTGGGATTACAAGTGTGAGCCACCGCACCCGGCCTTTTTTCATTCTTAATCATAACGAATTTTCACCAGTCCCTGGCAACCAAGGCATTCTATTGCCCCAAATTTTTGTATTATTTTCTCTGCCAGTCTGTAGAATATCATCAAAGACTTCCTTTATTGAGATGCATTCACAATACACTGTGAATAAGTGAGATTTCATATTCTTTCTTTTTATTAAATCCCAGGTACAGTTATGCAAAAATCCACTTACAGTTTGTCTTCCAATGCTCCTTGGTCTGTAGAATAACTTTCTCTCTTAATTACACATTTGTCCTTATTCATGCTTAAATTTTCATTTTTAGTTTACTCTCTCATTAAAAATTCATTTTTCACCCCCTCCATGATCACTCTTTGTTCTCAATTCCTAAGTACTTTTTCCAGCCATATTTTCACCCCTGTCTGTCACATTTTGTTGCCCATATCCTCTATTCCATTCTCTGTCCCCATTTCATCCTGTCCTCTCTGCCCCTGGTTTCACCCAGAGATGCTATTATGGTGATTGATTTACACAGTGCAGAACATTCCATAGGTATCATATTGCTATACAATGTACATATCCCATACAACTATAAATCTAAAAATAACTAGCAAAAGGAGATGTTTAAGTGGAAAGTTAAAAGTGCTAACAGGGTCAACTGGTACAGTCATTGTGTGGATGGTGGTTTCACTACCTTAGAGACAAATGGGCAAGAGCCAGTGGAGCTGGGCACTCATGATGAAATCAGTAATAAATCAGACACAGAGTATAAGCATGAATCAAATTACTGTACTCAAAATAAGATCTAGGCACAGACTTGAAAGGAAAATATGTCATTTCCTTCCCTTTCCTACCATCTCGCTCCCATCCATCTTCTGTCTCTCTTACTTGATGCCTGTCTTTCTCATTCCCATTTCTAAGCTCCCCTTATTCTAGAATTTTCTAAACAAGTAAGATTTATATCCTAATCCTGAGATGCTTATTCTTATTAAATATAGTATGATGTGTTAAGACCAGATCTCAGCTCTCTAAAGAATCAGGCTTGTAATGATGAATAACACCTGTATCTCTTAAGAAGTAAAAGCCCATTCACAATTCAGAAATGAACAGACACAACATCCCAAAGGTAATTTGTGCAGTCTTCACAGGGACTGTAAAAGACCACTCTGTCATTTGCAGGAACCTGTCCCTCTTTTGCTCTCTTCTTGTCTGTTCCTAGACTCAGGTGATTTCAGTTGTTCTTTCAGTGATACAGTAACCACCCTCCACTCAAGTGTAGCCACAAGTTCCTCCACGTTAAACCACTTGTAAGACATAGGCAGCCCAACCTCAAACAATGCATTTTTGTGGGAAACAATAGCACCAGGCAGAATGAACTAGTTGTTCTCTTAAATGGGTTGCTCATTTAAGGTCAATACTCAGGTTAGTTCCAGAGAAGAAGAGGTAAAGCAATAAGTAGACTTTGCCAACTTTGGAGCTTTTATTTAAGCACTTAAAATTTTTCTTTTTATTATGAAAAAATCAAGAGAATAGTGAAATGAATCCCATGCACCTGTCACTCAGCTTTACCAATTACATTTTCTCTTTCTCTCAGTGTCCTCCACCATTATTTCATAGACACATCCTATAGTATGTTTGTGCATAGAATCCAAAGCACCTTTAATCAAGTGTTACTTATCTTCTCTTGGGTTTTAAAAACAACCTTTATTTGTCAAATGTCAGTGAAAATTTACTACAAAGCCATGCAATTTCAATTAATAAAAATTGTCAACTATCTACTATATACAAAAAACTTGGCCACTACAGCAAGAATCTGCAGAGTTTCACTACTCCTTAAAGACTGCTAACCAACACTCTTTTCTCATTGCTGCCCATGTCCTCACCTGCACAATGACCTGATACCTCTCCTTTTGAGCCTACTCAGGGTTTGTTAGTGGAAATTAATCTGCAATTCTTGGTTTTCTCTAATTTTAATAACATAGTTATTGCTTATCTACCATCTTTCCTGTCTTCAGAATTTACTTGGCATCTCTTCTAGTGTTATATCCTTTGTACTTTCTTTGCTCTTTATTTGTTCTTATATCTCTTCCATTCCTTTATTTTACCAAATTTCAATAAATAGGTATGTTCAAAACCTAATTTTTTATGTCCACATTTTAACGTTCAAGCTATTTTACTTGAAATTGATACTTAAAGTCAACAGCATGTTCTGTGTGATAATGGTAAGATTCTTATTGGCAAAGAGGAGGGGGATAGAGAAATTAAAGAACAGGAATAAGGAAAGCAGTGACTATAGGTCTATTAGATTCCCTATTCTGTATCTGGTTTTTTCCTCTATATTAACAAGGCCCTACTCTCCATATTGTCTCTGCATTTTTGTTAATACATTGCAATTGGCGAAAAGACAGAGCAAAGAGGAATTGTAACTACTACATATCCGTATGTACTTTTGGCCTTTTCTGGGAAAATGTCATCTACAAAGCATATTATTCTTTTACACTATTTATAATGAGCATTTTTTTACAACGGAAAGATGTAAGGTAGGAATTTTGTGTGGATGATAGAAACAATCCACTGCTTAATGCTGCAGGAGGATAATATCTTGACAGAGCAAGCTGAGAGTGGCCTGTGACAGTTGAGACTGTTGAGTGATCTACAGAGATTATCTTTTCTCATATTTTGATCTTGCTATATCCCAATTCATCTATTTACAAGCTATAGAAACCAACACTAGTAATTTAAGATTATTTTATTTTTTGGCAAGTAAAAATTGTACATATTTATGGCATACCACATTATGTTTTGTAGAATGGCTAAAACAAGGTATTTAACATCTGTATTACCTCACACATCTTTTTTTGTGGTGAGAACCCTTAAATTCTACACTCAGCAATTTTCAAGTATACAACCTATTGTTTATTAACCATAGTCACCATGACATATAATAGATCTCTCGAACTTATTTCGTCTGTCCAGCTAAAATTTTATGTACTTTGACCAACATTTCCCCAGTTCACCCATTTCCCAGCCTCTGGTGACCACCATTTTACTCTGATTCTATGAATTTGACTTTTCTAGTTTCCATATGGTGTTTGTCTTTCTGTGCCTGACTTATTTCGTTTAACACAATGTCCTCCAGGTTCTTCCATGTTGCCACAAATGACAGGATTTTCTTTGAAGAGGCTAATAGTATTTCTTTGTATATATACTACATTTTCTTTATCCATTCATCCACTGGTGAACACTTAGGTTGATTTCACATCTTGGCTATTGTGAACAATGCTGCAGTGAACATGGGAGTGAAAATATCTCTTCAATTTACTAATTTCATCTCCTTTGGATATATGCCACATAGTGGTATTACTGGACGATATGGTAGTTCCATTTTTAATATTTTGAGGAACCTTCACAGTTTTCAAAAATGGCTGTACTAATTTACATTCCCACCAACAGTGTACTAGGGTTCCCTTTGCTCCACATCCTTACCGACACTTATCTTTTGTGTTTTTGATAATAACCATGCTAACAGCTATGAGGTGATATCTCATTGTGGTTTTAAATTGCATTTTCCTGATGATTAGTCATGTTGAGCATTTTTTCATATGCCTGTTGATCACTTGCATGTCTTCTTTTGAGAAAAATCTATTCAGATTCTTTGCCTATATTAAAATCTAATTATTTGGCTTCTTACCATTGAGTTTCTTATGAATTGTGGATATTAACGTCTTATCAGATGGATGGTTTGCAAACATATTTTCACATTCCATGGGTTATCTCTTCACTTGATTGTTTCCTTTGCTGTGAAGATTTTTAGTTTGTTATTATTCCATTTGTCTTTTTTTGTTCATATTGGCTGTGCTTTTGGGATCATATCCAGAGAAATTATTACCCAGACCAATGTCATGGAGCTTTTCTCTATATTTTATTCAGTAGTTTTATAGTTGCAAGTCTTATGTTTAAGACTTTAATCCATTTTGATTTGATTTTTTACATATGGTATGAGTTGAGGGTCTAATTTCATCCTTCTTCCTTTGGATATTCAGTTTTCCCAATACCCTTTATTGAAGAGACTGCCCTTTCCCCATCAGGTGTTCTTGGTATCTTTGGGGACAATTATTTGACCATAAATGTTTGGGTTTATGTCTGTACTTTCTATTCTGTCCCGTTGGTTTGTGTGACTACTTTTATGCCAGTACCATGCTGTTTTAATTACTATAGTCTTGTAGTACATTTTGAAATCAGATAATGTGATGATTCCAGTTTTGTCCTTTTTACTCAGGATTGCTTTGGCTATTCTGTGTATTTTATGGCTTCACACAAATTTTAGGATTGATTTTTCTATTTCTGTGAAAAATGTCATTGGAATTTTGATAAGGGTTTCTTTGGATCTGTAGATAGCTTTGGATACTATGAACATTTGAACAATATTAATTCTTCCAACCCATGAACATGGGCCATCTTTCCATTTATTTATGCCTTCTTCAATGTCTTTCATCAATGCTGTATAGTTTTCAATGTACAGGTCTTTCACCTCCTTGGTTAAATTTATTCCTAAATATTTTACTTTTTATTTGTAGCCATTGTGAATGGGATTGTTTTCATGGTTTCTTTATCTGATAATTTGTGTTAGTGTATAGAAATGCTATTGATTTACATATGTTTATTTTGTATCCTGCAAATTTACTGAATTTGTTTATTAGTTCTAACAGCTTTTTGGTGAAGTTCTTTAGGGTTTTCTGTATATGAGATTACATTGTCTGTAAACAGAGTCAATTTAACTGTTTCATTTCTGACTTGAATGCCTTATATTTCTTCTTCTTGTCTAATTGATCTGGCTAGGATTTCCAGTACTATGTCAAATAGTTGTGATGAGTGTGGGTATCCTTGTCTTATTTCTGATCTTATCTTACACAAAAGCTTTCAACTTTTCACTATTGAATGTGGTGCTAGTTATGGGCTTTCATAAGGCATTTTTTTGTTGTTGTTGAAATAAATTCCTTCTATACCTAATTTCTTGAAAGTTTTTTTATCGTGAAAGATGTCTAATTTTGTCAAATGCATTTTCTCCATCAATTGAGATGATCATACGGCTTGTGTACTTCCTCATATTAATGTGATATATCACATTTATAAATTTGTGACCATCCTTGCATACCAAAGATACATTTATTTGATCATGGTGAATGATTCCTCTAATGTGCTGTTAAATTTGGTTTACTAGTATTCTGTTGAAGACTTTGCATCTCTTCAGATCTATTTATGAAGGATATTGTCCTCTAATTTTCTGATATCCTTGTCTGGCTTTGATTTCAGGGTAATACTAAGCCTTGTAAAATCAGTTTGGCAGTTTTCCCTCCTCTTCAACTTTTTAAAGAGTTTGAGAAGGAATACTGTTCTTTAAATGTTTGGTAGAATTCGGCAATGAATCTATCAGGTCCTGAGCTTTTCTTTAATGAAAGACTTTTTATTACTGTTTCAATCTTTTTACTTGTTATTGATCTGTTCAGGTTTTTTATTTCTTCATAATCTAGTCTTGGTAAATTGTATGTATCTAGGAATTTATCCATTTATTCTCAGTTATCCAATTTGTTGGTGTATTTGTTGGTGTATTTTTCTTAGTGGTCTCTTATGGTTCTTTGTAATTCTGTGCTATCAGTTGTAATGCCCCACTTTCAATTATTTTTATTTGAATCTCCGTCTTTTTTCTAGCTCATCTAGCTATAGGTTTATCAATTTTGTTTACCTTTTTCAAAATGCAACTCTTAGTTTTGTTGATCTTTTTTGTTTTTCTAGCCTTTATTTCATTTATTTCTGGTTTGAACTTTACTACTCCATCCTTCTACTCAGTTTGGGCTTAGTTTTTTCTCTTTTTTTTTTTTTAGTTTTTTGAGATGTGATATTAGGTTGTTTATTTGGGTTCTTTCTTCTTTTTTAATGCATGCATGTATTGCTAAAAACTTCTCTGTTAAAACTGCTTTTCCTGCATCCTATAAGTTTTGTTGTCTTTAGATATTTTTTAAATTTTCCTTTTAGTTTCCTGATGAGTATATTGTTTGATTTCCACACATTTGAATTTTCTGAAATTCTTTCCATTATTGATTTCTAGTTTCTTATAGTTGTAGTCAGAAAAGATACTTGATATAATTTCAGTCATTTTGAATTTGTTAAGACATGTGTTGTAGTCTAATATGGGATCTACCCTGGAGAATGTTCTGTGTGCACTAAATAAGAATGTGTGTTCTACTGCTGTTAGATGGAATGTTCTGTATATGTCTATTAGGTCCATTTGGTCTAAAACGCAGTTCAAGTCCAGTGTTTCTTTGATTTTCTGTCTGAATGATCTGTCCATTGCTGAAAATGGGCTACTAAAGCCCCCTAATATTATTGTCTTGTAGTTGATCTCTTTCTTCAGATCTATTAGTATTTCCTTTACATATTTAGGTGCTCCAATGTTGAGTGCCTTTATCATTGTTATAACTTTTTGATGAATTGATCCCTTTATCATTATATAATGACCTTTTTTGTCTCATATTACAGATTTTGACTTAATGTCTATTTTATCTGATATATAAATCTAGCAACTCTTGGGGGGCTAAGAGAGATTGCAGCTCCTTTCTTGAAATGGCTCAACAAAGGCTGTTTCTTGCAGCAGGGGATTATGCAGCTATAACTCCCTCTCTGGGGAGCTCCCTGGCAGAAGTGGCTGTTGGTTACCTCAGTGGCAAAATATGCTGGTGTGCTGGTGTCCTCTGTGGAGCAAGTCCCATTGGGAACCATGGTAGTTTTCACCATGTGGCTGATATCAATAACCTCTGCCTTTCTGTGTTATTAGTAGTCTCTTGCATCTCAAGTATTCCAATCTCACCAGCAATCTATTCTGTGTAGGTATTCTCCATTTTGTTGTTGTTTGGTTGTGGTTGTCGTCGTCGTTGTTTTATGAGGTTTTTTCACTCTACTTTGTGGATAAAAATTATTTAATGGGCTCCTGAGCCCTCTCAGGGATGTTTTGATTTGTAGATAGCTGTCCCTATATTTGTGTTTTTTTGTGTGTGGAGGGATGATGGCTGATATATCCTATTTCATCATCTTAGTGACTTTCTTAGGATTTTTTAAAGGGGAGAATTCATTGAAAAAATAATGGGCAGCTCACAGAAAGAAGTTGAGGCTGGAAAACTAGGCTTAGATATGGGCAGGATAAAGGGCTCCTCTGGGATTCTGGAAGGCAAGAACTACTCACCTTCTCTTCCAACCAACATCGTGGGAATAATGGAACTCTAAAAAGTATCCCTGCTTATATTACTCTGTACAATGGTTCTAGTCTATGAAAGAGTCCTCCTGACTGCATGTTTGCAAGGTACCTGCCCTTGGGTGTATCACTCTGAAGAGAGGAAATATCTGGGTGAAGGGACTTCCCAGGAGTTATTTGTTCCTCCCTTACTTGCTTGTCCTATGGGAAGGCACAGCACTTTGATTGCAATGCCACCAGGACTCCACCTCAGGGACAAGGGTAATCCCCATGATGAAACCTGGATGTTGTAAATAAGGGAGAATGGCTGCTACAAAACCAAAATAACAAATGATACTCCCTACTCCTTTTTAAGTATAAATCTATTAGTAGTCATTGCAAGGATGAGAAAACAGTAGACTTTTATGAATATAATATGCAATCAGTTGGCTTATTATCTCTCTTCTTTAAGCCTCTTGTCTTACATAACCTTATCTTCATATCCTGCCAGAATATTACTGTCTTGTTTTTCATAAGAGAGAACCTCCCTCTCTGTGCAGTCTCTATGTAGTTCCAACTCTACCTGACACTCTTCAGTACTCCCTGAAGTATCCTGCAGTTAGAATGTTTGTTCATTATAGTCATCATTGAAAATACGTGACCATGAACAAGTAGTGCTGTAAAGCGGTCTACGTAACATTCTATCACTCTTCATTGTGTTTATTTTTTAATAAAAAGCACAATATTCAAAATTTCAAAGAAAAGATATAGGCTAAATATATGTCCCCCAAACAAGGCATTTCCAAGTGTGAACAGCAATTCATAATAAAAAAAGAAACCTGCACGTTGTGCTCATGTACCCTAAAACTTAAAGTATAATAATAATAAAATTAAAAATAAAAAAATTTAAAAAATTTTTAAAAATCTAAAAAAAAGAAAATAAACCTCATATTTGTACTGTAGATATACCCTCTTATTTTATTGTCAGAACAACCATGCAAGGTTGCTATTATATTGTTTAATGAAGAAATAAAGAAAATGAGGCAGAGAAATTAAGCAACTTGCTCAAGAATGCACTAAGAGTAAGCAGAACAGTAGGAGTCAAATCTACTGTTTGGAAAGTGAATTTGATGTTTTTTCATCACAGGAGTGAAGAGGCAATGAATGGGAGTGGAATAAGGTGAATGGGGAAGTGGGTATACGAGCGTCACCACTTGAGGTCTTTATTCCAAACTATACACTATATACATTCAGTCAGTATTTATTGAGTCCCTATTATGTGCCACTCACTACTCCAAGTACTAATGGCATAACAGTAAACAGACAAATTTCTTCTTTCATAGAGCTTACATTTCAAGGAGAGAAGATGAATGGATATATAAATCAAATATGTATTTTTTATATGTATATATTTCTTACATACATATAAATGTTACATATTTATATTCTTACATATTACATATGTAAGAAATCAGCACTTTTACCTCCAGATATGTAATATTTTTAGTTTAATGTATTATGTTAAATGGTGATTATGTACTATTTAAATAAAAAACAGGAAGGAGCCTGGGGAATGTTTAATTGGTGGATTGGGAGATGTATGCAATTTTAAATAAAGTGGTCCAAGAAGGCTGCACTGAGAAAGTAGCATTTGAATAATGGCTGAGAAAGGTGAATTGATGAGCCACACAGTTGTCTGGGGAAGAGGATTCTAGGTAGTGGGAACAGCAGGGGCAAAGGCCCTGAGCAGGCACTTGCTAGAGTGTTTGAGTAACAGCAGAGAGGCAGAATCAAAGTGAGTAAGTAGAGAGTATAAGATGAGGTCACAAATACCATCAGGGTCTACGTGACATAAAGTCCAAAGACACCATTTTACAAATTTTGGCCTCTACTCTGAATAAGATGGGAATATTGGAGGGACTTCAGTAGTAAATAATACAATTTGACATTTTTAAGCTTCACTCTGGTTGTTGCTGTACAAATAACCGACTGCAGTGGGGAAAATAATAGAATCAGGGAGAAATTTAGGAGGCTAATGCAGTCATCCAGAAGAAAGAAGGTGGTGTCAAATCAGGACAGAAGCAGAGAAGATGTTGAAAAGTGGTCAGATCTTAAATACAATTTAAAGATAATGCATATAGGATTTGCTGTTGGATCAAATGTGGGATGTGAGAGAAAAGACGTGAAGCATAACTCCATTAAGATCTAGGTATAGCAGATTGCATGGAAAAATCAGGAGTTTACATTCTGAAAAGTTAAATTTGAGACACTTAGTAGATGTTTCAGTACAGATGTTGCAATGGTAGTTGGACTTCAGTGGAGAGATTAGGTTTTTAATAATACATTTGAAAGGTGTCAGCATGTCAGTAACATTTAAAGCCATGAGCTTGGTAGGATATGGTGGCTCATGCCTATAGTCTCAGCACTTTGGGAAGCTGAGGTGGAAGGATTGCTTGAGCCCAGAGACCACTCAGCAAGATCCCATCTCTATGAAAAACAGTTAAAAAATTAGCTGGGCATGGTGGCACACACCTGTAATTCTAGTTACTCTGGAGGCTGAGGTGAGAGGATTGCTTGAGCCCAGGAGTTCAAGGTTTCAGTGAGCTATAATTGCACCATTGCACTCCAACTTGGGCAACAGAACAAGACTCTGTATCTAAAAAATTAAGAAAGAAAACCATGAACTTGAATGAAATATCAAGGGGAAAAATGTAGATAGAGAAAAATGAAGCCCAAAGTCTATTTCCTGGGTAATCACAAAGCTAAGAAACTAGAGCCAGAGAAGAAAGAGAAAACCAAGAGCACGTAGAATTCTGGACACACAGAGAAAGTGTTTCAATGAAGCAAAGTGATCATCTTTATTAAATACTGCTGATAAGCAAGACGAAAACTAAAAAACAACAACAACATTCCAAAGCAATCTGCATGTTCAATGCAATCCCTAACAAAATTCCAAACTCATTCTTAACAAAAACATTAATAGAAAAAATAATCCTAAAATTTATGTGGAACTACAAAAGACCCAGAATGGCCAAAGCAATCTTAACCAAAAAGAAGAAAGCTAGAGGCATCAACACTATGTGATCTCAAAATATATTACAAAACTATAGTAACTAAAACAACATGATACTGGCATAAAAACAAACATACTAGCCAATGAAATAGGATAGAGAGCCAAGAAAGAAACTCACATATCTATGGCCAAATGATTTTTGACAAAGATGCCCAGAACACCCAATAGAGAAAGAACACTCTTCACTACGTGGTGTTAGGAAAACTAGATATTCATGTACAGAAAAATGAAAATGGGCCCTTATCTCACACTTATACAAGAATCAACTCAAAATGGATAAAGATTTGAATGGAAGACCTGAAACTATAAAACTACTAGAAGACAACACAGAGGAAAAACTTTGTGACATTGGTCTGGGCAGTGATGTGTATGACCACAAAATCACAGGCAACATGAGCAAAAATATGCAAATGGGATTACATCAAACTAAACAGCTTCTGCACGGCAAAGAAAACAATAGAGTGAATACACAACCCATAGATTAGGGAAAACATTTGCAAATCTTGCATCAGCTAAGGGGCTAATATCCAAAACATACAAGGAATTCAAACTACTTAATAAGAAAACAAATAGCTCTATTTCAAAATGGGCAAAAGACTTAAAAATAAGACATCCAAATTTCCAAAAGATATCTGAAAAAAATGTTCAACATCTCTAATCAGAGAAATGCAAATCAAAACCACAATAAGCAATCACCACACACCTATTACATTGGCCATTATCAAAAAGATGACAGATAACAAGTGTTGGCAAAGATATGGAGAAAAGAGAACCCTGATATACTGTTGGTGATACTGTAAATTAGTACAGCCATTTAAACAAAACAGTATGAACGTTTCTCAAAAAATTAAAAATAGCTCCAGCATGACTGTGGACGAAGGCCTCACTTCAAATGAGGGGGCTATGAGGTGTCAGTTGCCAGCACTCAGCTACTGGTGAATAAATGCTTCTGTCCTGAAGGGCAGGATGTGGTAGCTCATCACAGGAGCCACTGCAATGCACTTGAGGGGAGGCTTCACATACTCTCCTCCTACCTATACACACACACACACAAACCCCTAGCTTTGCTTTTGCAATTTTAATGTCCTTGAGGATTAGGAGTTGGAAAAATTACATTCTACTACTGACTCAAAGACAAAGCTGTTTAATTGGAAACAAGTCTGATAACATCTCTAGGTCTGTTTTCTTTTTACATGTAAAATTAGGAGACTGGAGATTTTAGATGAGGTAATTATTATTATTCCTGCTCTCAGACTTTGGGATGGTTTGAAATCATATGAACTAAGTTTATAAATTATAAGACTTGTGAGTTTTATAAAGTCTTATAAGAAAACTTGAAAGTGTTCTACCTAACATCTCCTAACATGTTCTCTTTTGGACATAACCTTATTGAGACTGAACATTGACACTTGGTTCCCTGTCATCACTTTATCTTGGTGCTTGTATTGGTTTTTTATGGCTGCTATAACAAATTACTGCAAATGTGGTTGCTTAAAAGAACAGAAACTTGGCCAGGCACTGTGGCTCAATCCCAGCACTTTGGGAGGCCAAAGTGGGTGGAACACAAGGTCAGGAGTATGAGACCAGCCTGGCCAACATGGTGAAACCCCATCTCTACTAAAAATACAAAAATTAGCCGGGCGTGGTGGCACGCGCCTGTAATCCCAGCTACTCAGGAGGTTGAGACAGGAGAATTGCTTGAACTCGGGAGGCGGGGGTTGCAGTAAGCTGAGATCGCGTGCCATTGCACTCCAGCCTAGGTGACAGAGAAAGACTCCGTCTCAGAAAAAAAAAAAAAAAAGAACAGAAACTTACTTTCTCACAGTTCTAGAGGTCAGAAGTCTTAAATCACTATCACTGAGCTGAAATCAAAATCTCCTCTTCTGTCTGTGTTCAAATCTCCCTCTGACTACATTTTACATGGTTACATACGATGGTATTTAGGGTCCACCCTCATAATCTACAACAATCTCCCCATCGTGACATCTTTAATCACACCTGCAAAAACCCTGCTTTAATATAAAGTAACATTTATAGATTCCAGAGATCAGGATGAATATATTTTTGTGGAGGTAATTTTTAAATCCACAGTGTTCAAAGGGATTGATATCATACTTACTCATTTATAATTTCAGGAGCAACCTGTATTTGTTAAAGCAAACTAGGTATATTGTGATAGTTAATAGTGATTGGACTGAAGGATGCAAAGTATTGTTCCTGGGTGTGTCTGTGAGGGTGTTGCCAAAGGAGATTAACATTTGAGTCAGTGGACTGGGAAAGGCAGACCCACCCTCAATCTGGGTGGGCACAATCTAATTAGCTGCAAGCACAGCCAGAATGAAAGCAGGCAGAAGAATGTGGAAAGTCTAGACTGGCTTAGTCTTCTGGCCTACATCTTTCTACTGTGTTGGATGTTTCCTGCCCTCCAACATCAGACTCCAAGTTCAGTTCTGGGACTCGGACTGGCTTCCTTGTCCTCAGCTTACAGACAGCCTATATGTGGGACCTCACCTTGTGGTCATGTGAGTCAACGCTCCTTAATAAACTCTCCTTCCTATCTACATCTCTTCTATTAGTTCTGCCCCTCTAGAGGGCCCTGACTAATACAGTCATGCTGTCGCAACAATAACAAGACAGCCTGAAATCTCAGTGGCTTCTCAAATGAGAGTTTCTCTCCCACTCATGTCATCATCCAATGTGGCAGGAGGGTTCCGTGTGCCCTCATCCTTCAAGGGCTCAGGTGCTTTCCATCTTGGGGGTCTGCTCTCCACTTGTTTCCCGGCACCTGTTCCAGTCAGTGGGCAGATGGGGAAGGAGATAGAGGATTGCACATGTGGGGTCATAAGGAGAACACGAGAGCCTCTGCCACAACATCTTTTGGTACCTTTTCCATCCTTCATGTGGCAGACTGTATTAATGTTCAAAATATTCACTACCTACCCTGGGATACCCCACCCTTTGACAGCCCTCTTTGGAAGAAGACTGTACATCTTCACTCCGCGGAACTCAAGTTTGGCCATATAACTTAATTTGGCCAAGGAAAGGTAAACAGAAGTGGCAACTCTGGCCGAAAGACTCTGGCCTTAGCCAGAACTCACTTGTGTGTCCACTCCTGCCTTTAACGGAGCCTAAACAATGTCTGATCAAGAAGAAGAGGAGAATACGAATGTTGGGAAACTCCAGCATCCTCTGCTACAACAGTTGCCATATTTTTTATACCTTCTCTTTTCTCCATGTGGGAGATCATATTATATTCAAAATATTTGCTGTTCCTCCCAAGAGCTCTCTCCCTCCCTTCGACATTCCTCCTTTAGAGAAGACATCCTGACTATATCAAGCATGGCTGTATAGATTGCTTTGGCCAGTGCAATAGGAGCAGGTACTACAAGTGTTGTTTTAGAAACTAGCACATGGTTGAGCCAGCTCTCTTTGCTCTCTGCTATGAGACAGGCTATGTCCCAGATAAAGTCTGCTCTACCTACCTAGGTCCTGGAATACAAACAGCATGGGGCAGGACTACAGTCAACCCACCATGGACACGTTGTGTGAGTTAGAAATTAATCATTGATGCTGTAAACCACTCAAATTTGGAAGTATTTTTGTTAACAGAACATAAACTGAGAAATACATTTCATCATTTCTCAGGGTTTGCCAGTGATAAATTCATGAACTGGAGATGAGCTGAACTCAAACAATAGGGATTCTCCTACAATTTTCCCAACTCCTTCACCCATCTTGGGTTCCTAAATGTGTCACTTTTTCCAAATGTCTTTTTTTTCCTTTAAAAAATTGTATTGCTCTCTTTGTTTCCTTTAGCTATTTCTTCCCTTTCTTTGTCCAAATCACTAAAAGTGTTCTCTGAGCATTTAGGCAGAACTAGAAACTCAAATTTACAAATTTGAAATTTCTTTTTCTGGAATCACTTAAGCATTTTACTACTGTGATTCAATGGTGTGCTGAAGTTAAGCTCATATGAGCTTCCAGAGTTTACTGTTAATTTTTCAGGAATGTTGTGAGCAGTTGTCAAACACAGCCATTATTAAACATTTTTAAAATTAGATTTAAAACAAAAACAATAAATACTCAAAACTCATCACTCCTTAATAATTTCACTAGATTTTACTATTATTAATTATCTTGAGTTTTTTTTATATAGTGGTGACAGTATGTAATAATAGGCTAGTGGGCATCTTTGAAACTTTGCATCTAGTGATTTCAGGTTGGTGGCTTGAAATCAGATATGATGGGAGCACACCACAGAAATTAGCGTGCTTCACAAATCAGGGCTTTTTGTTTAACTTTTACCAACACCCCATTAAATATAGTTGACCCTCCGTATCCACAGGGTGAGGGTTGGTTCCAGGACCCCTAAGCGTACCAAAATCCATGTATGCTCAAGTCTCTTATAGAAAATGGGGTAGTGCAGTCACTTTCCATATACAAGGTTCTGCATCTTCAAATTAAACCAAACATGGAAGGAAAACACATACAGTGGATCCTCCTGGAGTCACCAGGTTGGTTAAATCCATGGATGCAAAACCTGTGGCTATGGAAGGCCGGCTGTATACTCTTAAAAAGCTATCTAAATCTCAAGTCCAAAACTAAATGGGCCTTGAGGAGCTATTTTTAGAGAAATACATCCTCTTAGCTTTCAGAGTATACTTTCTACATCTCCAGTAAAAATATTTATGGAATAGCCATTTTCTTATTTTTGTGACTTTTTGGGAACACTCTGATAAAAGAACAATGATGAATTACATATCAGTCTGTCAGAACTAATTCACTGCTCAAAAAAAGAGATCAACAGAAAATAAAGGGAGATAAAATTTAGTAGGCTAGTAAGATGATTGAATTTTCTAGCAGGGTTAATTCGTGTGTAATAATGAAGAGGATCTGTAATACCAGGGAAGAAACAAGCTTTTATTATATAGGAAAGTGTTTACATTGTGTATATCTATTGCTGTGATTTCAATCTTTGAGAAAAACTAAGGCTTTCATGAGCTAATCATCTTCTGTATCTTTATATTCTGGCTAATTAGTAATTATAAATTGCCTATTTTAAAACAGGATCTAGGACACAATGAAAATTTTTAAAAAGTTAAATCAATCTGGGCTGAATGCCCAGAAAAATTAAAAATTTAGTTTAACACTCCTGGGATCTCTATGTGTATGTGTATACGTCTATGATTGGGTTTATTAGACAAAACTAATTGAAAAGAAGATATCTGGAAATTAAACCTCAAATAATATTAGTCAGAGATAAGGAAGCATATTTTTAATCAAAGTTCATTGGACCAAAAAAAGTCTATAAAGTAACTTAATCCAAGGTTTTTTTTTTTTTTTTAAAAAAAAGGGTTTGGCCGGGCGCGGTGGCTCACGCCTGTAATCCCAGCACTTTGGGAGGCCGAGGCGGGCGGATCACGAGGTCAGGAGATCGAGACCATCCCGGCTAAAACGGTGAAACCCCGTCTCTACTAAAAATACAAAAAATTAGCCGGGCGTAGTGGCGGGCGCCTGTAGTCCCAGCTACTCGGGAGGCTGAGGCAGGAGAATGGCGTGAACCCGGGAGGCGGAGCTTGCAGTGAGCCGAGATCCCGCCACTGCACTCCAGCCTGGGCGACAGAGCGAGACTCCGTCTCAAAAAAAAAAAAAAAAAAAAAAAGGGTTTAAAAAAAAAAACTTAAGCTGTTGAAGTTGCCTGCATTTAAAATTAATACCTAGGGGTAGAAAACCTACTCCTTAAACCTGATACTAAGAAATATGCTTATTAATGGAGTCAGGGGTAGAAAAAGGTTTAAGGAGGAGAAAATAAAAGTGAAAATAAAGAGACAAGCAAGGGGTATAGCAGATGGAGATAGACATTCAAAGCTGGAGAGAGAAAGAGTAGGAAAGATTAAAGCATTTAGAACATATTCCAAGGAATATTCTTAGGCTATGGGCATCACAGTGGGCTGTCTCCCTGCCCTTTGGGTAATTGACTAGCCACTATTCTCAGCTGCTTAAGTGTATAAGCTTCTTAAGAGGCCATTTTTGTTTTATTCATAGTGCCTACTATAGTGCCCTGCATGTCAGTGACAGCTAATAATTTATCACCTAATTAGTTAATATTTATTCTGGAAACTTCAGAGGCTCAACTTTGAATGGATCAAACAAGAAGAACAAAACGAATGAAAATGCACACCCTACCATTGATTATCTGTGACCACGGCAGTATATTTATATTAGATACTTGCCAAAAAAATCTATATGATGTGTGTGTGTGTGTATATGTATGTTTGTGTGTGTGTGTGTGTATATATATCTATATATATAGATATAGATATAGATATATCTCCTCATTCTCATATCTTTGCTTCATTCTCATGACTAAGGTCTTAAATCCAATCTCTTAAAATCCAATCCTTCAAATCTTCAGGGGGACCTTTCCAGACCACCTGAGTAACAGTGGTCCCTATAGAAAATATAAAGATAGAATTTTGTTACTAATGTAACATAACTTAAGCCTTGACAACCAAAGTCATTAAGAAAAGTCTCCACAAGCCTCATCCACTGACATTGCTTCTCAGTGCTGCTCTCTCTTTGTGGTCACCAGTCAGGATAGAGAAGCTGCAGAATGAAGAACTGATAAATTACAAGAGGAAGCAGGCTACAAAATTGCCCAGCCTTCTTGTGGTTGTTGCTGTGACTTCTCAACCTATTTTAATCTTTCCAAACTCATCTTAATCTTCTAAGATTTTCAGGGCTAAAAGAAGCATCTTGGTTTATTCTAGGAGGCATGGATATTCATTAGCAATGGTGAAGAGACCCAAATATTATTTTTTAAAAAATATCTTAATCTCTGCGAGCTTTACTTCCTCATCTGTAAAACCTGAATAATGGTTCCTAGGTCATTAGATTAATAGAGATGACAAATGTGCAGCAGTTAGTCTAGTTCTTGAAATTATCATCCTTAATTCATGGTAGCTATACTGTCAAAATAAAAATGTTGCCACTAAGTGTTGCTTAATCCCTTCAAGTTGTCCTTCATATGTGCTTCTTCCATTTTAGATTTATGGCTCTTATCCTACCAAATCCTTTCCTTCCAAGGTCTCGTTTCTTCCAATTGCTCAGCATACGCCTTCCTGGCATGCTGTTTAAGGAAATACTGACACCTACTGCTTCAAGCTCAGGCTCTTCTTCCTCACTTTCAAGGTTTTGCTTTCTTAGATCTTTTCGCCCTCAATTTCCTTAGCTACACAGTTTGCCAATTATTCCTCGTCACTGAAACATGCTTCTACTAATCAGAACAACCTTGCTCCTGTTCCCTATTCCCCTGAATGTGCCATTCTTAATCTTACTACTATGTTTTTTCCTGTTTTTACACTCCCTCCTAGAAGGCCCTTTAAAGAAAAAGTCTTACTCAATGTTCAAGGCCAGTTAAATTACACATCTCCCAAATGACTCTCTTTTATCTCCCCAAGGTTATTTACACTATGCTTTTCCCTGCCTTCTCTGTACTTTTATTTTGTTGGTACTGTACAGTCTAGAAGCTTATTTTATACCCTCAAGAAAATTATAAATGTTATTAAGGCAAAAATTATATGATTCATTCATTTTGCTGGCTTAGGCACTAAAGTGTTCATTAAAGGTTTGGTTGCCTGAAAACAACAAGCCTAAAATGAAAGCTCTCGCATTTATTGAGGATTTACTTTTGTGTCTGTCACATGCCCTCTATACTTTATCATTGTCCAAAAAAGCTGTTGTGACAGTTATGAATTCTTGCCACTTATATATGAGGAATCTGTGATTCAGCAATATTAAGTCACATGCCCAGGGCTATTGCGTCATTCAGCCATTCAACAACTATTTGCAGACAGTCTGCCTTTGTCTCTCTTGAATTTCTCACAACAGTTGATTAGACACATTGATCTTTCTTCTCTCCCTCGAAGGCCCAAGTTCATTCCCATCTCACAGCCCTCGCACTTTCGGTTCCTTCTCCTTAAAAGGATCTTCCTCCAATCTTCATATCATTGCCTCATTCTCATGACCAAGGGCTTAAATCCAATCTGTTAAAATCATCCCTCAAATCCTCAGGGAAGCCTTTCCAGACCACCTGAGCAACAGTGGTCCCTAATCATTCCCCACCGTATCATTCTATTTAATGTGCTTCATAACACAAATGGAGGTCTGAAATTATCTATGATTATTTTCTAATTATGAATAAATGTAAACCCCTGCCAACATGAAATTTTGTATATTACATTTAGACTGGACCAAGGCAAAAGTTCATTCTCTGACATTAAGGTGTGCTTCTTAAAATTATGAACTGAGTCGCAGAAATAGTTAATAAAATCTATTTTTTCATTTTTAAAAAAAACCTGTTACTGACCCTTTATTTGTTCTACTTGCCTTTAAGTAACACTTTTTTCCTATTTTCAGTCAAAATATAACATATAATTCTTCAAATTAAAGAAATTATGAACCATATTGTATTAGTTTGTTCTCATGCTGCTAACAAAGACAAACCTGAGACTGGGTAATTTATAAAGGAAAGAAATTTAAAGGACTCACAGTTCCACGTGGCTGGGGAGGCCTCACATTCATGGCAGAAAGCAAAGGAAGAGCAAAGGCACATCTTAATGGCAGCAGGCAAGAGACTATGTGCAGGGCAACTCCCCTTTTTAAAACCATCAAATCTCATGAGAACAGTACAGGAAAAACCCACCCCCATGATTCAATTACCTCCCACCAGGTCCCACTCTGGACATGTGGGGATTATTGCAACTCAAGGTGAGATTTGGGTGGGGACACAGAGCCAGACCATATAACATATGAAATAGGTAAAGAATAGTATAGTATTGGCAGTTTTATATGGTTCAACCAAAGAGACTAGCTTTAAATACTGGTAATCTCCAGACATCAGTTACAATTTTCTAGACCCCAGATTGCTGTCCCCTGAGTGATCAGACTTGACGGAAAAAAAATCTCTATAATAATTTACTTTTCTGAACATATGGGAGACACTTTCTGTATCATTCAAAATAAAATTCATTGCTAAAGAGAATTCTGGTTCACCTTTGCTACACTTTAGAGAAATACATGTTGTGAAATAGTTAAACATCAGCTTGATAGCGCAGATAAAAAAGGGAAAACACTTTGAAATAAGCATGGTTAATGGCTCCTTTTTAAAAGCAAAATCTAACTATAGGCACATACACACTGAGACACAGCGCATCCATCAACGTTAGAAAAAGGTTTCTGGTCTGAGTATTGACACGCAGGATAGTGGCAGAGCTTGAGATAATGGAGCAGCTTTATTCCTAGAGTGCTGTTTTTAACTGAAACTTCATTGATGTGTGCAAGGTTTCTTGAGAGAAAATAACAGATCAAAAATGATTGGATTTCTGTAGGTTGCAGGAGATTTTCCTACACAAATTATGTGAAATATTCCTATAGTCACTAGATTTCACTAATTCTAATCTCAGACAACTCTAGATTATTCATGCAGATGATCCAGTTTGTGGGTTATTTGTAGCATTCTTTTTAATTCTTAGTATCTACCTAACAACTGACCCACTTCTGAACTAGCCCTGTTTTCCTGGATAGCCAGGAAAAGTACTTCAAGGAATACTAGCTTAAGTAACTCCAGGTTAAAAAAAAATAAAATCTTTTTAAGTCAAAAGTTATTCCACACACTTTAAAATATTTTGAAATTCTAGGTCATTTATGACTCTACGTTCCTCCACTGAGGTGTCTTTTACCATTTTTATTTGGAATGTCTAGATCCAAAGCTCCCAATGTTTATTTACTCCCTTCAAAGAAGCATGAATGTACTTAGGAGATCCACTTAGGAGAGGTATCACTGTGTAAGCTGAAAGCCTCCAGGTTTAAACTGCAGTCATAGTGTGCTGAATTAGAACAGTACATTTCTTCATTCATCAGCTTTATAAAAATAAGAAGTAATATCTTTCATAAAAGCAGCTGAACATTGGTAACATTGCCAACAACTAGAATTAAGTAAAATAAAATCTAAAGAAATAAAAAAATATATGTATAAAACTGATTAAACCACAGTTTATTGAATGTTGGGTTTTTCCTCATAACAAATGAGAATGATTCTTTCTGGCTCACAAAATATTTTCAGGTTTAGGTACTACTCAAGCTTGTCCTCAATCGAGGTTTTCATGTATTTGAATTTCAAAAGCCTGGAACTGGCAATTAGTTTTTGCCTAGCTTGACACTAATATAAAAATCGTCCTGAGGAGGATTCTTTGTAGGTTGAATGCTTTGAAAACCCTCTTGGAAACAGGGCCCTGGAACCTGGGACAAAGAGAAATGTATGGAGTTGCTTCCAGGAAACAAGAAGAGAAATGCATTTGTAATGAAGCTTGCTGTTTCAGGAGGAAGGATGGTGGCAAGGGTAGAAGGACCTGGAGGAAATACACAAGCTTTGTGACTCCATGTGCTGCAATATGTGTTTCATGTTATGATGGGTTGTATTGTATCCTTCCCAAATTCATAGGTTGAAGTCCTAAACCCCAGCACATAAAAATATGGCATTATTTGGAGATAGGGTCTTTATAGGAATAATCAAGTTGAAATGAGGTCATTGGGGGGGGGTGGTCCCTAATCCAATATAACTGGTGACCTTATATAAAGGAGAATTTGAGATATGAAGACACATACAGGCTAATATGTAAATCAAGATGGCCATATGCAAGCCACAAAACAGATCCTTCCCTCATAGCCCTCAGAGGGAATCAACCCTACCAACACCATAATTTCAGACTCCTATCCTCCCGACTGTGAGACAATACATTTCTGTTCTGTTCTCGAAGATATCCAGTTTGTGGCACTTTGTTACACCTGCCCTTGCAAATAATACACGCGGCATGGCGATGTTAAACATTGCTCCAGCTGCACAAGATCTTTAGTAAAACCTACTTTCTGCATTCATTCTTTCAGTGCAACAGAATCATTTACTGGGAATGTAAAAAGCCTCTGAATTCCAGACATTGTGAACATGTGATAAAAAGAAAGAGTATACAAACTGATAGCCAAAAACTGAGTTATTCTGGTTTCTCCTTACCTCACATTGTACCATGATAAAATTCTACAATGGAAACAAAATTCTGCAGCTTTTCCCCATCTCTCTTCTTCCTTTCCACATCCTTGTTCCTTTTTTAAGTAACTATATATTTATGAAGTAAGGTATTGTAGAGAGAGTCTGGGTCTTAAAATCAGGCAGATGAGTATTTAAATCCCAGCTCTGCCACTGATAAGTTACTTAAATTCTCTGAGGCACAGTTTTATGATGTGTAAAACAGTGACAAAACTTTCTTTAAAAATCACTGTCATTAAATATAAGGAATAGCAAAAGGCTTAAAAACATTACAAGGAAGCAACCAGCCAAATCCAAAATATAGAATATGCTTCATGGTAAGTGGTCAGGTTTCCTTAACAAAAATCAATGGTACAAAAAGTGTAGAAGGGCACTTAAAGATTAAAGAGAGAGAGACATATCAGCCAGATGCTGAGTGCTATGGTCTGAATATTTGTGTTTCCCCAAAATCCATATTTTGAAATCCCAAACCCAAGCTGATGGTATTGTATTAGGAAGTGGCAGGGAGGCAGGTAGAAGTGATTAGATTATCTCCTACTCAATGGGATTGGTGTTCTTATAAAAAAGACCCAGAGAACTGCCTTGCCTCTTCTACCATGTGAAGACACAGCTAGAAGGCACAGCCTATGAGGAAGTTTACCTTCCTCAGACACCGAATATGCTAGCACCTTGATCTTGGACTGTGTGGGCTCCATAACCATAAGAAATAAATTTCTGTTGTTTATAAGTTACCCAGACTAAGGTGGTTTGTTATAGCAGCCTGAGGACAAAGATACCATGTATGAAACTTGTTTGGATCCTGATTTAAGCAAACTCTATTAGGCCATTTCTGTATTGCTATAGATAAGTACCTGAGACTGGGTAATTTATAAAGAAAAGAGGTTTCATTGGCTCATCATCCTGCAGGCTTTACAGGAAGCATGGTTCTGGTATCTGCTCGGCTTCCAGGGAGGTCTCAGGAAGTTTATAATCATGGCAGAAAGCAAAGGAGGAGCATGCACATCACATGGCAAATGCAGGAGCAAGAGAGAGAAAGAGAGAGAGAAGGATGGGAGGTATTCACACACTTTTAAACAATCAGATCTCATGAGAATTCACTATCATGAGGACAGCACCAAGGGGATGGTGTTAAACCACATATGAGAAATCTGCCCCCACGATGCATTCATCTCCCACCAGGCCCCACCTCCAACACTGGGAATTACATTTCAACATGAGACTTGGGTGGGGATAAATATCCAAACTACAACACAAACCAACTACAGAAGAATTTTTTAAAAAAATAACTGGGGAGATTTCAATATAAATAGATGGTAGGTAATATTAGTAACTTGTTTCTTTGGTTTGTCATGTGCAATAATGGCATTGTGGCTAATTTTTTCTAAACATCTTTATATGTTACAGACATATTAAGCATTTATGTGAAATGTCTGAGATTTGTGAAATATACTATAGGAAAAAAAGTGAAAGTATAGCTGTCCTTGAATCAGAAAGGGGATAATAATTATTGAAGCTGGGTGATGAATATCTGGGAGTTTATATTATTCTCTTTACCTTTGCATATATTTCAAATTTTCCATAACAAAACATTTTTTAACTATTTTAAGCATACACAGGAGAAACGCATTAAATGTAACTTTTCTTCCCCTTTCATAAATTTATATATATTTTGGAAACAGTAAATAGCCTTTCATTTCTATTAAAGAGAAAAATTTCCCCCCCCAAAAAATAAATTTTTGTTCAACATGTATTACTGTCACCCACTGAGTAACCAGCATGCCATTCAAAGTTTTTCAAATGCTTTAGCAAAATTTTCTCAAAACACACTTATATGGGAAAATGCAGCCTGAAAATAAGAAAGGTTGTCACCCACATATTAGAAATTTCAAACATTTTCTGCTCTAGATAAGGTAAAACAGAAGGTCTGAGGCATGCACACATGGAAGTCTCCTAGTTTCTTCTCTTATGAGAGAGAAACATGCCCAGGAAGTAAAGGGAGGGAACTCTAACTAAGCCCTGTGAGTGCCCCACCACTCAGGGGAAGAAAGGATTGTAGTGAGCCACACAGAAACAATAACAAAGACAAACCACTTTCCAAACTAGGATCTAGCAAAGAATATACTGTATTAGGAAAGGAATGAAAAGTCCCTGTGGCTGATGCCTGGAGTACATGACATTTGAAACTGCCAGTTCATTTTATAGCTTTAAAAGTTATACGTATTTAGTATAGAAAATTTAGAGAGATATACCCGGTTACAAAGAAGAAAGTAAAAGTCACCTATAATTTTATACCCTAGAAATAACCACGAGTAATGTTTTATGGATATTACTTTTAGCCCTTTTGTTTACTTATGTAGAGCTCAAATATATGGAACTATTTTCAATGAAATTAAGATTATACTACAGAAAACATTTATATATTGCAGTTAGCAAGTAATTTTAATGGCTGTATAATATTCTATTGTTAAAAATAATGTAGAACAGGGAGTAGAGAATGATGTGAACTTGAGCACATGATTACTTCCCCAATCACCAACCCCTCCCCCAATTCTAAAAACAATAATTTTAATAAGATAAAATGGGAGGACTGCATCAACATTGGGAACTAGAAAAGAGAGTCATGAACATGTCAGAAGCACCAAGGAACTTCTGCTAGGTAGATTAAGGAAGACCGACTAATGATGACTCATCACAGAAAGTTCAAGGTGGAGCCCCAAGGCCTCTCAAACACTCTGGGGCTAAGGAGGCATAGAAAATTTCCAGGTGAAAATCCTATGAGTAAGCAAAATTCCAGGAAAAATGCCAAGGTAGTGGAGGCAGTGGGATAATGAACAGATATTATGTGGCAATACCGAATGGAGCATCTCCAGAGGACATTTCTCAATAGCACCATTGTTCGTGGTAAGTGAATACTTCACTTTTTCTCCTGCTTCTGTCAAGTAATTGATCACGAATTAGCTTTGAGATTTCTGCTTAAAGGCAGGTGTCCATCTGTATCCAAACAAATCAAGAAACCCAACAATAATTCTCCCTATTTCCAGAGATAATCTCATGCTTGGTCACAATGCTCACTATTTAAGAGAAGAAATAAGTGGAAAATAGATATAGATAGTAGGGCCTGTAAAAGAAATCTTTAACTGGAGTCAACAAGGTCAGAGGCAGAAAACATTTTTATAACATTTAGTGCAGGCAAAGTATTTCAGATACAAGCTGGAAGAAACATTGTTTCTACAAAAATAAAGATGCAAATTGAGACAGTAAGTCAAAGGACAGAGATGAAAGAGAACCAACTAATTGATGAGCAGAAGTGCAAAGGCAGGCATGTGAGATCAGGAATGATTTGAAATGAAACAGGTAATAATGGAATGTCAATACTTAATTCATTAAAATTTCTAGTGTTTAATAAGCTCCAGAGAACAAAATGAACTGTGTGAAAGTCAAATACAGAGTTTGGCCTTGAAAAAACCTCCCAGAATACAGTGGAAAAGAAAAACCAATGACAATTATTAGATAGAAGATTGAGAACAGACAATCACAACCCTACATACAGGTAATTTGTGTTTCTCAAGACTGCTACAGATGAAAAACAATCCATATCCAAAAGAGATAACAGACAAAAACACACCTAAACTGAAGAAAATCCTGCATCAAGAATAGAAATAATGTGTCCTGCACTAGAAAAATAGTCACTAGAAAGAACTAATAATTATAAATAGCCTGGTAGAATTATTGAATTTCACACTGACCATAAGCATCTTTGCAACGGTATGTGCATGTAGAGGATAACTGAGTTTTGAGGAGTTGGGATCCAGGATTTAGAGATTTACCAAAGTTTATTCACATGTAACGCAGCAAGACTGTCTCAGATACCAACGACTCGGTAAGTATTCCACCTGAGATCTCGCCCCGTGAGAAGTAACTACAACATTTCTCCAGCCAACTAAGAAATAATTCAGAATAATAACCTCAATAAGAAAGTCACTTATGGAAGGACTGCCACTGAGCAATGAATCTTCAGAAATGGTCCCTGTAAGGTCCTCCTTGCTCAGCCTCACAACATCACCACTTCCCAGTTTTCCACACACTCTCTTTTGCTGCCTCTACCTCCACCTGAACTTTCAATGTTGGAATTCCTTGGGATTTGTTCTTGGTCCTCATATGTTTACCTGTTGTCCTATACAATAGCACCCTTTCTGGTAGCTCAAAAGACCATGTATATACTTATGACTGTCAGTTTATATCTCCAGGGAACTCTAGACTCACCCATCCAGCTGCTATTTGACATCTCAGCTCAGATATCTCATACACATCTCAAACTTAACATGTCCCAACAAAATTTTCTTCAATGTTGTTCCACTTCATGTAGTCTTCCCTAACTCAGCAAAAAGCACCACAAAGTTGCTAGACCAGAAGCCTAGGAGATATCCTTTAGTCCTCTCCTTCCTTCAAACCTCCATATTCAATCTACCAACCAAACTTTTCTATTCTATATGCAAAATATACATCTTGAAACTTTCCAGTTCTCTCCCTCTCCAGGGCAATTATTCTAATCCAATCCCCTATCGTCTGTCACCCCGACTACCCCAACAGCTTCCTAGCTGATCTCCCTACTTCTACCTTAAAGAGCTCTTAATATGTTCTCTATGCTGCTGTCAAAAAATATGTTTTAAAACCCAAATTGGATAATTTCATTTCCCTGCTTCATATTCTTCTGTGGCTTTCATTGCATTACACATAACATTAAAACCCATAAGCAAAGCTTATGTGCCCTATAAGATCTGGTACCATCTCTGCTCCACCACAGCTGATGCCTCCCTATGTCATTGCTCACCAGGCTCCAGCTTCTGCAACTCTGAACATTTCCAGAGCATGCTAGGTTCTGTTCCCACGTTAGGACACATAGATGGAATATGTAGTTTTTGTATCCATTATTCTCTGCCACCCAAGCTCTGCACGGCTGCCTTCTTCTCAGCCACCTCCTCCACTGCCATTTCCTATCCCAATACACCGTTTTTTCCTTCAGTGGCCTTACCACCAAATTGTTTGGATTATTCTGTAATTATTTTGATTATTCATCTTTTCTTTGTTTTCTGCCTGTCTCTGCCATAAAAATAAAAGCTTCCTGAGGACAAAGTCTATGCCTTTTTCACCATTTTATCCCCAGGAATTTAGCACATTGGAGAGGTCAATGCATATATATTAAAATATATTGAATGAATGGATGGGTGTTGAAAATGTACTTGCAAACAGAATACTTAGATTTATAGTAAAACAGCTTATGATTCAATAATCCCACTACTACTGGGTACATATCCAGAGGAAATGAGAACAGTATGCCAAAGAGATATCTGTGCTCCCACGTTCATTACAGCATTATTCACAATAGCCAAGATATGAAATCAACCTAAGCCCATCAGTGAACAAATGGACAAAGAAAACATAGTGTGTATGTGTGTGTGTGTGTGTGTATATATATATATATATATATAGTATGTATGTGTGTGTAGGTATATATACATATATAGTGTGTGTGTGTAGGTGTGTGTGTATATATATACACATAGTTTGTACGTGTGTGTATTGCATATTTATAGACACACATATACACATATACTATGTATATGTGTGTGAGTATATACATATATATGTATATATATATCTATCTACAATGGAAGATTATATACCCTTAAAAAAGAATAAAATCCTGTTATTTGTGATGCCATGGATAAATCCAGAGTATATTACATAAAGTGAAATAAGTCATGCACAGAAAGACAAATACTGCATGATCTCACTCATTAGTGGAATCTTAAAAAACTGAACTGATGGAAGCATAGAATAGAATAGTAGTTACCTGGGGCTGGGTTGAGAAGGAGAGTAGGGTGAAATGCTCAAAGGATACAAAATTTCAATTAGATAGGAGGAATACGCTGAAGATGTCTCTTGTACACCATTGTGACTATTGTTAATAACAATGTTTTCTATTCTTGGAAATTGCTGAGAGTAAATTTTAAGTGTTCTCGCCACAAAAACGATAAGTATGTAAGGTAATGCATATGTTAATTAGCTTATTTTAGGCTTCTACAATGTATACATATATTAAACCATCATATTGTACATGATAAATATATAAAGTCAAAATTTTTGATGAAAATAAATTACCAAAGCTGACTCAAAGTGTTATCCAATCTAACAACTATGGAATGTAAGAAAGTAGAACTACCAAACAGCTACCCCTGAAAATGACACGGGGCCCATATTTTTTTAATAGACAAACTTTACTGATTATCCATTTGAAAGACAAATCATTCCTACAGATGCTTTAAAAGGTATTTTCAAAAGCATTAAAGAAATGAAAAATATCACCATTCATTTTACAGTATTAACATTACTAAAGAAAGAAAATTTCAAGGAAAGAAAACTGTAGAGCAAATTCATTTAGGACTGAAATACAAAGCATCCTTAAACAAACAAACAAAATGAATCCATAACAGTATTCTTAAAGGTTAGCAAACACCGTGACCAAATAAAGATCATTTTAAGAATGTAAAGATAGTTTGCTCTTATTATATAATCATCTCATTAGATACCCAGAAGGTATTTAATAAGATTCTTAAAAAATTCAAAATAATAAATTCTGAGTAAAATAAGAATAGGACAGCAGTTTCTTTTTTAACTGTTGTTTTAAGTTCAGGGATACACATGCAGGTTTGTTGCATGGGTAAGCTTGTGTCATGGGAATTTGTTGTACAGATTATTTCATCACCCAAGTATTAAGCCTAGTACCCATTAGTTATTTTTCCTGATCCTCTCCCTCCTCCCACCCTCCACTCTCCAAAAGACCCCAGTGTGTATTGTTCTTCTGTACGTACGACAACAGTTTCTTACCATGCCTTAACATCTATCACAAAACAACATTCAGGATCTTGTTGAATGATAGGGAGTAGACTCATCCCTATAAAAATCTGAATACAGGCCACGCCTGTTGTCCCAGCACTTTCGGAGGTCTAGGCGGGCAGATTACTTTAGGTCAGGAGTTCGAGAGCAATCTGCCAACATGGGGAAACCCGGTCTCTACTAAAAAAAAAAAAAAAAAAAAAAAAATTAGCTGGGCATGGTGGCTGCGCCTGCAGCCCCAAATACTCAGGAGACTAAGGCACAAAAATTGCTTGAACCCAGGAGATGGAGGTTGCAGTGAGCCAAGATCGTTTCACTGCACCCCAGCTTGAGCGACAGAGCATGGCTGTATCAAAAAAAGAGAATCTGAATACAAGGATGCCTGTCAACATCATTCTGAAAGTACAATTGGTGAAATCATTAAACAGGGAAAAATATTAATATTATAGATGAGGTAGCAAACCTATTATTATTGTCTACCTAGACACCACAAAAGGGAACAAATGAAATTTGACTACAACTATTAGGGAAGTTCAAAACTATGACTAGTTACAGAATTAACATAACACGATTCAATTCCTTTCCTAGATAATAATAACTGTCGAAAATCTAGAAATGGGAAATTATCTTATTCATAATACAACCAAAAATATAAAATGCCTGGGAGAAAATATTAATGATACATGGCATCTTTATAAAGAAAACTACAAAACTTTACAGAGGAACATAAAAGAAGATGTGAATAAATTGAGACATCATGTCTCTGGATATAAAGCCTTAACAGAGATTTTAGTTATGTCAAAATTAATGTATGAATGTAACAAAATCATATACAATTTAGCATAGTAGTTAAATGTACAGTCTTAGGAGATGAGATGTTGGGCAAGTTACTTAACCTCTTTGAACTGTTTTCTCAGCTTAGAAATAGTCAGGAAAGAATATCTGTCTGGTAGAATTGCTGCAGAGATTTAATAAAGCAGTACATACAAAGCCTTTAGCACTGTGTCTGCCCTCTAGTTAGGATTAATAACATTTGCTATTTTAAATTACTATTATTTCACGCTGAGTCAGGGGTTTAAACATTTTCTGTAAAGATATAGGTAGTAAATATTTTAAGCTTTGCAGGCCATATAATCTTTTTCTCATATTTTTCTTTTCTGTTTGATTGTTTAAAACCCTTTAAAAGTGTAAAAACAATTATTAACTTGGGTCTGTATAAAAAACAGGCCACGGGTCAGATTTGGCCTGTGGGCTATTGTTTGCTGACCTATGTTCCAACCAAGTAAAAGAAATTTAATATCACTAATAACCAGAGAAATGCAAATTAAATACAAATTATCAGATGGGGAAGGTTTTTCAAATATCATAGTGTTTATAAAGATATGTGGACATGGGCACTCACACACTATTGGTGAGTTTATGACTGGTAGCCGGTTCTTATGGAGACATTCTTATATCCTTGAATAAGGATGTTTATCATGAGTTTATTTGTAACGTTGAAAAATCAATAACACTTAAATGTCTAACAACAGAGGATTGGTTAATTAAATTACAGTTCCTCTATACAATAGAATAACATTCAAGTATTAAAAATAATGACAGATCTTATACAATCTTTCTAAATTGGAAAACAGAAGATTAAAATAGTCTTATCAATAACTCATCATACAAGAGAGCTGGTGGACGAGTTAGGTTAAGTAACTCCATATTCAGGAAACACATCTGAGGATGATTCAATGTCTCTCAACAAGGCTGGGCACTGCCTTCAGTGGATACAACAGAAGGAAAAACCCAACCTCAAGTAACCATGACAATCCACCAGGAGCAAGCTCCTTCATCTTTAGGAATGTCTCTTTTCAAAATCTTTTTTAAATGTGGTCCAATGTAATAGATTTTTCAGATTTCCTTGTTATTCTTAAAGACTTTCCAGTCTATCCAAGGCTTTTGAAAAATGTGTAGCATTCATGGAATAGTATTTCTGTTTTCTGGGAAGGATCATCACTTTTTCTATTTTTTTACATATAGTGTACACTCTGAACTTTGGATAGGTTTTTTTTTAAGGCTAGGAAAACTGAAACATACAAAATTCATCATCACCTATTTTAGTAGCCACCTATTTTAGTAACCTCATTGACTTTGTGGCATAACCTCTTGAGACTACATAGGTTTTCTACTCCTGTAATGTTCCAAAATCTTTATTCCACAATCTGTACCCAGCTGCTCAGACGCCCACACTTTAGAATCTAGCCCACATATTTAAATGTCTAGTGAGTTCATGTCATTGCAGATAAGTAGTGTGTTACTTCTCCAAGGTAACCAATAAGATGTTTAACTGTCAGCCTCCAGGGACAATGACTGACCTGCAGCAGTGTCTTTGTCCAGTAATTAGGTTTGAGGAAATTTGGCAGGCTGGTTGAGTGGGATAACTAAAAAGCCTTTAATGTGAGGTGCCTATATGGAAAGCTTCATTCCGAGGAAATCTGCACCCAGGTATTGTCAGTGTATTTCCTTCTTTCAGCTCCCAACCTTTGCTGGTTTTGGTTTTAGTTTTTTTGTTTGTTTGTCTTTTCTGAGAGTTCCTGACATCTTTCCCCACCTCCCCACTGCCCAGTGTAACCGAGGAGAAAACAGAGACACCTGGGCACCCGGGGAGTTGTTTTGTATTGTTTTGTTTATCTCTACCTATTTAAAGTACTGAATGCAGTGGAGGTTTATATAAGCACCCCTTATGATTCAAAACATAAAAACTTGATGCTAATGCAAGCATAGAGGTGGAGAAATCCAGGTAGGGTGATGGTAGCTTTACCAAAAAAGAAAAAAAAATTAATGTGAAATGAGCAAACATAAGTGGTCAAGCTACAAGACCTTGGGTATAATTCTTTGATGAGCAATTCTATGCATGACCTTCAGAGGAAACTTACCTATTTCATGATTTGTTGACAGGCTGGTGTTTGACATTTTGACTAAAGGACCTAGTTACATTGTGAAAAGAGGAAGATACCCTTTAGGTAAGGAATATAAACAAATGTCTTCAACCCAGACATTTTTGAAAGAGCTCAAGAGACTCCCACTAAAGTGCATGGGTACTTTTGAAAAAAGATATTTTAGAACCTATGAGCTTGCTGTTAAATTATTTTTTCAGACTTATACAGAAAAATATAGTGGATACAATTTGATCATTTAATCCAAGAATTAGAAAAGCACAGCTATTGTAAAGGAAGAGACTGGAGAAATAAAAAGGCAAGAAGAGTATGAATGAAATGTTTAAGCTTCAACCTATTTTTTTCAAATATGTAGATCCCTTGAAATTTCTGATCAAGAATAAAGATAACATACAGGGAGATTAATGTTTCTACTTATCTTTACCATAAGGGACATTCGGAATGTTCTTCCTTCTAAGGTACTGTTTAAGAAAAAAATAGAATATTTGACAGAGATTGAAATCTCCAAGGAGAAAGTTATAAAACATCTCGAGAAAACTCAGCCTCACTAGAACAGAAGGAGTGGATGACATTTAGCAATTAACTCTGAGAAAATAAAAAAATGTGCAATACAAAAATGCTGATAGGTTTTGCATAAAACAGAGTAATCTATTTTGGCCTTGAACAGCTGTTAACAGTTCCTTCAAAGTCACTAACTAGCATTCAGCTGAAAATTCCTTTCTATCATCTATGTGCCTACTATGGAAAAAAAAAAAGGCGGGGGAGGGGAAGGAAAGGTGAGTTTCCTGTTGTACAGAGATTTGTTAAAGGAGAGAAAAAGATTTTATTTTTAGTATGCCAAGTTTTAATAAAGGATCTTTGTAGTCATGCCTTTGGAGGTTTCTTCTCCAATGGTAAATTCACTTGCTGGATAATTCTATTCAGTACATAATCCTTCTTTTTGAATCATCAGGTCCTGCAAGATGAACATCCTGGACATTTATGAATGAGATGCTCTAATGGGCATCTTAAATTCTCTTACTAAATATTTTATCTTATATAAAAGGAAATTCATTAAAAGTATGTTAGGCATTCTTTTATTAGAATAATGTTGGATGGTTGATATCAAGGAAGGGCTATACTTTAAATCATTTAAATTTTTGTATTGCTCTTTGCAAGCCAAAAGTTATTATCAACAAGCTGAGGGTTCCATTTAATCACAAGTAAATATAGTACAGCAACTACAAATATCTCAAAGAAATGTCAAGCTGAAGACAGAGGCCCACAAAAAGTTCATGATTGTGAAAAGTTAACATACTCTAAAGAAGGTTTTAAAGTTATTTTGGCAAAAAACATTCTATTGATGAAATAAAAACATTTTTTCAGCACGCGGCTTTGTGAATATTGCTGACAGGGTTAATTACATATTTTAATAATCAAATGTGTGCTTGTTGCCTGTAAATATGAATTAAAGCACATATTTACATGTATAATCAATGTAAATTAATCCTTATTTTCTTCTATGGTTAGATTACCAACTGCATAGAGTTATAGGCCGGGCACGGTGGCTCATACCTGTAATCCCAGCACTTTGGGAGGCTGAGTTGGGTGGATCATCTGAGGTCAGAAGTTCAAAACCAGCCTGACCAATATGGTGAAACCCCAGCTTTACTAAAAACACAAAAATTAGCCAGGTGTGGTGGCGCGTTCCTCTACTCCCAGCTCCTCAGGAGGTTGAGGTGGGAGAATTGCTGGAACCCAGGAGGCTGAGGTTGCAGTGAGCCGAGATTGTGCCACTGCACTCCAGCCTGGACAATAGAGCAAGACTCCATCTCAAAAAAAAAAAAAAAAAAAAACCTTAAAAAGAGTAAATCATGGGCTTTTGTAAGGCATAAAGCTAAAAAAGAGTGTTTTAATAAATGATCTATATCAGATCATTCTCGTCTCCAGTCCATGCAATTTCCACCTATTCAAAATTTCCACTCTATTCTCCACCTGGCTATCTTTCAAAACTATCTCAAGTTCACCCTCCAATCCACAATGATCTCTCCTATCTATGAACCAAGGTCACCTAACTTCACAGCACTCATTTGGCAATTAGTCATTTGGCGAAAATATCACCTGTGGTATTTCTTTAATTGGTATTATTTAATATCTATACCTATCAATCCATCTATCTATATCTCCTTCTTTCTCTCTTCCCCTCTCTGGGTCCTTCTTTACTCTCTCTCTCCCTCTGTCTCTCTTCTTTACCTTTTAAACTATGTTTTAAGCTTTATGGGAGCAAGTATCAGATAAAGTAAGATGTATGACTCACTATTTCATTACATATAACACTGTCTTGCATACAGTAAGTGCTCAATAGAAGTTTCTTGATTTAAGAAGTGAGTTTTAAAAATCTACCCCTATAATGGAGGCCTGGCAGGTGTCTGCTGAGACTTAATTAAACTGATGAGCTAAGATTTGAAAGATGGAAAGTGGTAGGTAGCTAGACAGTAGGGTTTAGCAAGGCTTGGCAATCTTACAGAGGTGTCGTGCCAAATCCTCATTCATCCACTGCCTCCCAAGGTCGGATACATGGCAACTACTTTGGGAGAGGGGAGCATGGCAGATTCTCACAAATAATTCACCTACCTGCCCTAACAGAGCCCACTGTGATATGAAAAGGTTCTGATGAGTTTCTCAGGACAGAAATGCCAAGGACATGAAGGACAAAAGTTCGCAGGCCTTCAATTCACAGAATGACCAGGGAAGAGGAAAAATTTGGACATTTCTTCCTAAACACCTGAGTTCCTTTTACCATCCAAGCACGCGAAAGCCACAGTCTTAATTATCAGTTAAGAAACACAGTTTTACTTGACAACCAGATGAGAGAAAGATAAGGCACTTGAGGGAAGAGTTTCTGAGAGAAATTTGGTAGCCCACAAACTTAATTCTTCCTTCACATTTTATCTGTGACATCAAAACCACACCAATAGTATCTTTTTTTCATTTCACCACTACACAACCTATGCATGTAACAAACATACACTTATATCCCATAAATTTATGCAAATAAAAGAATCTTAGATCTAAAAAGCAAAAGACATTTTAAAAAGTTTAGAGCAAGTTTTGCCCCCAAAATAGCAAATAGAATAAAGAGAAACAGGATTGGCAGTGGAAAGATAAAATCTTCCAAGAAACCTTTAATTCTTCTTGATTCAGCTCTGGAATATATTTATCCTTTGCATGATGCTCAAAGTTGTAGAAATGGAAAACCTGACTGAAAGATTTACTAGTAATTTAGTCACCAAAGGTACTTAGTCCAGTTAAAAAAAAAAAACCAGTAAAATACCAGAAATTCCTCTATGTTAACCTTCCAGAATACTAAGTAGGTTCTAGTGGAAAATCTTGAATCAAATGCTTGTAGGTTTTAATATAAGCTCAAAATCATTGCAACCCACTCTCATTTTCTGAGAAGGAAGGAAAAGAATCAAAACTATGATTTTGGAAAAATGACAATTGGATGTAGGAATATGTAGAATTATATATAAAAATTATATAATTTTTGCTCATGACTTCTTTGAAAATAAAAAATGCATTTACCAATATATTTAACATAGAATTTCAAAGGATCCAAAGACCCATATTTGTGAAACCCATAAAAGTCCATAAACCTCAGATAAAAAAATCCCTGTTGCAGATGGAAATACCAGCTGCATGGGGGCTCATGGGAAGACCACTGAAATTCTACAGACACATGGTACCTTTCCTAGTCAAAGACCCAACTGTGATGACATAGTTATTGGAAATGCTTTGAATGCAGTAAATTTACTTTGAGTCAATATAAGTGCAGCAGACAGACTAATGCCCCACCCCGCCACAAAGATGTCCACATCCTAACCCCTGGAACTTGTTCATATGCTCTTACATGGCAAAGGAGGATTAAGGTTACAGAGAGAATTCAAGTTACTAATCAGTTGACTTTGAGATAAAGATATTATCCTGGATTATTTGAGTAGATCAAATGTAATCACAAGGGTTCTTATAAGTGAAAGATGGAGGCAAGAGAGTCAGTCAGAGTGATGCAATGTGAAAAAGAATGGACTGGCCATTGCTGGCTTTGAAGATGAAAGAAAATCACAAGTCAAGGAATGCAGGTGGCCTCCAGAATCTGGGAGAGGTAAGGAAATGAAATCCCCCATCAAGCCTCCAATGAGAATATAGCCCTGCCAACATCTTCACTGTATCAGTCCATTCTTACACTGCTATGAAGGAATACCTGAGACTGCGTAATTCATAAAGGAAAGGGGTTCAATTGACTCACTGTTCTGCAGGGCTGGGGAGGCCTCAGAAAACACAATCATGGCAGAAGAGGAAGCAAACACATCCTTCTTTACGTAGCAGCAGGAAAGGGGAGAATGAGTGAAGGGAAGGAAAGCCCCTTATAAAACTATCAGATCTCATGAGAACTCACTCACTGTCACAAGAACAGCATGAGGGTAACTGCCCCCATGATTCAATCACCTCCCATCAGGTTCCTCCCACGACACATAAGGATTATGAGAACTACAATTCAAAATGAGATTTGGGTGGGGACATAGCCAAACCACATCATTCACTTAAGCTTAGTGAGATCCATTTCAGACTTCTCCCCTTCAGAACTGTAAGATCATAAATTTGTGTTGTTTTATGCCAATAGTTTGTGGTAATTTCTTACGGCAGCAAGAGGAAACTAATACAATAGGCAAGAAGAACAGAAGTAGAAAGTTGTCCTTTTTCTGCTAGCCTGGCAAGCCAGAGGGATTGGTATACTGAGCAGAGCAGCTCAACATTCCAGAACTATAGGAGGTTTTGATCTGAAACCTGTTCCTCATAAAGAAAAAGTACAAAATAAGTCAATAAGGAAATAAATATATCCAAGATAAATTGATAACACTTTGATAAGCACTTATTATGCATTCACAGGCTGCAATTCAAGGAAAAGCATGCAAGATCAATGTAGGTGGGTAAGTCCCTCCCTGAAATCCAGAAAGAAGGCTTGGCCTGAAAGCGTCTTTTTGATGGCAGAAAAGAAAATGCATCTTTAGCTACAGTCTTTCACAAATCCATACATCAACTGATTTTCTATCAAAAAAATAGTTCTATAGGTATGACTATAGTTACAATCAGAACAGCTGGCCTTACAAAAGAATGTATTTCTCATAAACTAAGATAAAAATCCTAGAAGTGTTTTCTGTATCACTCAGCTCATTTTTCTTCACACATTAGTCTCCGTACCCTTCCTTTATCTTTGCAAAACTCAACTTGACATTGGTACCTACATCAGTAAGTACTAATAAGCAAGCAAAAACATATTTCTTTCCCAAAAATCCATAGACAAACATTCAGTGTCAAGGACAGATTTTTTTTTTCCTATAAGTTTTGAGGACCACCTACAACAGCCATGACAGCTGTGCTAATCGAAAAAGCAAACGAGGCCACAAAGGACTGTTCTTTGACCATGTAATCAATTTTCCACTCAATGCATTGTTCATTCTTGGAGACTTTAATGCCAGAATTGATTTTAACAGCCATTATAGAAATACTTAAGTCAAAGGGCTTGCAACCTTTTTTAGCATGACCAATGGAATTTTTAAAATAGATATGTGAATAAATCATTGAGTATGATTCATATACTCTTTTAAAAAGGTTCTTTGAGTCACTGTCCAGACACATTCTTTACAAGTAGTCAAGTGGACTAAGTAAAATCCCATACTGAGAAATAGTGCATTAGCTCCATTTATGCTTATAAAATTATGTTTGAAACCATTTTCAAACCATTTGTATACCATTTTCAGCAGCTCCCAGAAAAGCCAATAGATAATCAGGTAGCATATAATAGATGACCACTATTCAACATGAAACCTGAAGGAGTCGAGTAAGCAGTCATGATGACAAAAGTGTGACGTCAATTTGTAGTCAAGACAGATATTGAAGACCCCAGAAATGAAGAGAGATAATAAAGAGATAGCTAATTGCTGCTCAAGGTTACTAGGTTAGAAGTTGCTCCACATGAAATAAAATGTTGATAGAATTAGTTAAATTCCTATATGTATTTCTCAAAAATTCAAAGAACAAGATAAACTAAAATCCTTTGCTTATTCATATATTTTTTGATAAGAGTTACTTGGGGCATTCCATGTCTGGAAACAGAAATGCACATAAAATGAAGTCTAAGCCATAATTAACATAAAGAACAAGCAATCTATTTAAAAAGGATGCAGATTTACAGATATTTAATGTGTGGAAGCTTTTCATAACTGATAGTAGAGCTTTAGTTTGTACTACCATAGTAGATAAATTTCTGATAAACTAGTATCTGTTTAAATCATAACAAAAATGGGATTGCCCAATAAGAAATTGTCCACAATTTTATAATTAGATTGAGTTTATGTTTGACTGAACTAGTATAGAATCCAAGTCACTGGATTGGAAGATTGATAGGTAAATGTCATTATTAGATTCCCCCCTCAATATTACTATCTTACATTCACCCGCTTCCAAAAGACTTTAGATTCCCCACTCTGAAGCACATCTAGGCTCAAACATTTTCATCATAGGGCGTATGCCTGGAGTTTAACAAGTAATTATTGTTCATTGAGTGAATAGTGTTGTTACAGTATAACCAGGCATCCATCAGAATTCTCAGCACCATACCTATTCTTAAGGATGTGTCCTATGTGTCATAGGGTGCACTAGTGACACAGATACGACATCCACATTAGCAATCAACATTTATCTAGAGTTCTGCATGCACCATAAAGCAGAGCTTTAATTCCATTTTAGGTTTTAACTAGGAATAAAGAAAGTAGGCAAAAGATGATGTCTTTCCTCATCTTTGTTCAGTGTCAACACTGAGCACCATTGATTCTTCTTGAAGCTGAATATGCCTTCTTTTCATGTTTCCTCTTCAATAAAAACAAGACAGAAAAGGTTCTCAATATAAAATAATTTCAGTTTAATTCCAGAGAAACGTAGAGTTAAACTCGCTAAAATGTTCATTCTTAACATCCCATGGCAGGGGGGCAGACAAAACAGTATATTTATTGATTTAACAGTCAATAAAAAGTCACACTTTGAATGTAACTAACATCTGATATTCTGAAAGTTACTGATATTAAAGGTGCATTAAAAGTCATTCATAGAAGATAATGAGTGAAAATTTCAGGGAAGGATATAGTTTGAATTTTCTCTTTGAAGATGGAGAGAATAAGTCAGCTTGACTGATAATATGAGGTGATTTCACATCAAGAAAAAGATCTATTAGAGCATGCATTAAAAATGGCATCACACCTCTCCACAGGGCCCTGAATGACACAGGAAGCAATTGCAAACTCAAAACTTTCAGTACTCTTCAGGGAGTTTATTTGGTAATTTGTAATCTTATTTCTGATTCTGTAAACAAAAGACAGTCAAAAGCAGCCTAATCTTCTTTTGGGACAGCGTGGCCTTCAAAAATCAAACACACAGTCTTCTTATGCAATATTCCCTTTGTACTCTGATTGTCATCTTCCCCCTTAAGGGCAAAGTGTACTTTGACTTCATCTGCAGAATACTAAATATGGATTTAGCCACATACATATTAACATCATTTCTAAAACTACTAGATCACTGAAGTATCTAAATGTCAATGATGCACATTTCTGCATTGGGTAATCATATGTTGGGTGGAATGGGCTGTGTATACCTGTTCTTGTGTCACCTTGAAAATGATTTGTAAAAATGATTTGACCTATATTTTAAGAGCCTTAATAAATACTAGACAGTTTAGGGTTATGTGTATGGAGAATATTCAGAGGAGCTATCAACACGGTTCTCAAAAAGTCTTCATCAGACAGGTGATTAAGACTTAAATGCCTGATTTCTAAATATATTTAATTTCTTTTTTCTTTTCTGAGATAAACTCTGGCTCTGTCACCCCAGCTGGAGTGCAGTGGTATGATCACAGCTTGGCTCACTGCAGCTTCAACCTCCTGGGCTGGTGATCCTCCCACCTCAGCTTCCAGAGTAGCTGGGACTATAGACGTACACAAATACACCCAGCTACATTTTGTAATTTTTTTGTAGAGATAGGGTTCACCATGTTGGACAGACTGATCTCGAACTCCTGGGCTCTAGTGATTCACCTGCCTCGGCCTCCCAAAGTGCTAGGACTATAGGTATGAGTCATCACGCCAGATCTAGCCTAAATATATTTAATTTCCAGACTCAAAAATTTGGACAAAATATAATCATTAATGATGTATAAATCAAGTTTAGCTTTCTTAGCCTTTTCAATTAGTAGGTGAATGCCCACGTTGTCTGTCTTCTGACAAGCTTACCTAATTAGAGTGTTCCATGGGTTGATGAGGACAGAAGATAGAATAGTCAAACTACTCTTAGGAAATGGAGCACAATTAAAAATATAACAGCAATTAACACTGACCCTTAATTTATACCTCAAATTTACTCTCCATACTTTCTGCCTTTAAACAGATTCCTACAGATAAAATTACTCCATTACAAACCTAACCTCCTTTGGTTAAAACTTTATGTTCAATAAAAATTATTTTATGATGCTTTCTATAAGCACTTTCCATATACAATGTTTTAATATCACCAGTGTATTAGATGTCCACTATCATCATCATTGTTCTCATTGAAATTGAAGCACAGAGAGGTTCAGTAAATTGCCCACAATCTCACAGCCAGTAAGTGGGAAAGCTGCAATTCAAATCCCATCAATGGAGATCCTGCGTCCATGCTCTTAACCACAATGCCTTGCTGCCTCAGAAAAATACAATCACATTCTTTCTTATACTGGCCAGTCTTTTCTTGTGTTTTTTCACTCATGGGTATGTAGGTTGTTTAAATATTAATTAATTTCCAAAGGAGACAGTACTAATTAAGCACCTCGTTCAAATTCCTTCCTCTTATCTCAAAGTACTCTCTGCCACCAAGAACATCACCTCTCTCATTTCTTGCTCAATCAAGCATATCATAAACTTAAGCACATGTGATGTTTGTCCTGTATAAATTTGACTTTAAAAAAAAAACAATTACTGGTATTTAATTCATGAAAGATGAATAGAGACAAAGATATGTACTTTCCTGTCCTTGTAATTTGTGTTTTGGTTTGAGTATACAAAGAAATGAGAGATATTTGTTCCTTTTCTTTTTGGTGACTCTCACCTTGAAATGACCTCCTTTTATTAATTTTAAATTTTTATCTGGAATTGAGAATTACCTCCTCCAACTTGGATTGAGCACAGCACAGGAGAAAGGAAGATATTCCCCCAAAGCTACCCCACAGCTGTATTATACCATTGTCAATAAGGGCCTCTTTATTTCTCTCCTTTCTGACCAGGATTGGCCCATCCTGGCAAAGGGCTAAGAAAAGGGGAAATGGTGAACTGTTAAACAGTCTTAGCTTTGGGCACACACACATGTGGAACAAAGTCAAAAGGGTCTCATCTTTAAATCAGCAATGAACAACACTCTATATGGCAAGTAACACAAAAATTCAATTGCTTTAGCAAACTGTTTAGGAAAACAAATGTCTTGCAAGTGGGGAAATGTGGATCCTCTGACCATAGCCAGTCACTCCACTTTTTTCCGTCCTTCTATTCTCACAATGAACTTTCTCTTTCTTATACTTCATATCTTGTCAAACTTTTCCTTTTCTCCTTGTGCTTTTTCCTCCAGTCCATGAGATAGAAGGTGCACATAAAAGGCATGTAGATCACTAGAGCAGGAAATTGACATATATTTTGTCATAGAAGTTAGTCCTAGTTAACATATTATTGAAAATATTACTGTAAAGAGCAGAGGAGCTGGGTGTGGCTTCAGGACCCTCAAGGAAGGAAGAGGATGCTCTACTTGCTGGGCCAGAGTCAAGGCAGGTAGAGGGAGCATTTCTCTCAGAGCAGAGGGGAGGGACTGATGGCAGAGGAATTTACCCATCCAGCCATCTGGGCATACTAACGGTATCTTGCACCATAGCACTGGGCCACCCAAATAGAACATCAGAAAAGGAGGGTGATCAGACTGAGTTGCTCAACACTGCTCGATCCCCAAACAGACACTCAGCTCTGCCTTTGGAGAACAACCTCTTGCACTACTCAGGATCCAGTGCTCATTTGTTCCAACCAGCAAAATTTGAGCCACACTGATAGAAAAAGAATATGTGACCCTTTATAAAATAATTGACTAAGGTTTGTTAAATTTTTCCAAGAAATATATTAAAAAGGAGTCCGAATTGGTCACATCTACTAAATAGAAGCTTCCAAAAGAAATCGATAAGCAGGACCATATTTTAAAAATTCAATTCCTATTGAGTTTGTGGGCTCTTTTTTGGTTCCATGTGAAATTTAAAGTAGTTTTTTCCAATTCCGTGAAAAAAGTCAATGGTAGCTTGATGGGGATCACTTTGCAGCCTCAGTCTTTCCATGTAAAACGTTTTCTCACTATGAACCCCTTTAAAATCTATGTGCTTGGCGGCCGGGCACGGTGGCTCACGCCTGTAATCCCAGCACTTTGGGAGGCTGAGGTGGGCGGATCACCAGGTCAGGAGATCGAGACCATCCTGGCTAACACGGTGAAACCCCCTCTCTACTAAAAATACAAAAAAATTAGCCAGGCATGGTGGCGGGCGCCTGTAGTCCCAGCTACTCTGGAGCCTGAGGCAGGAGAATGGCATGAACCCGAGAGGCGTAGCTTGTGCAGTGAGCCGAGATCGCGCCACTGCACTCCAGCCTGGGCGACAGAGCGAGACTCCGTCTCAAAAAAAAAAACAAAAAAAAAAAAAACAAAAAAAAAAAACCTATATGCTTAGCATGCTAGAGGAATGAAAGAACAGTTCTATTAATGAGCTGCAGGCACAGAAGGAATTTTAATAATAAAACATTACGATCCTTAAGTAAAGGCTTGTTACAGGAGAAAGTAAAGTATGTTTAACTGTTCTACTGTTTTCTAAAATTAATACATAAGTGATTTTGTTTATGGGATATCCTCTCTGAAATGCCTATAATATTTTGTGCTACTACTATTTCTTGCTTTTTGCTTCAATATATCCATTTTCTTATACATTAAGTTACTAGACAAAATTTAATATACTTTTTCTTTTGAGAGAGTCTCACTCTGTCACCCAGGCTGGAGTGCAGTTTACCTCCTAAATATTCAGGGAATAATCTTATAACATCTATCCTAACTACTTTATACAATGGAAAGTATATAAAAAGCATTAACAATTAAAAGCATCACAAATTTAAATTATAATCACAATATGAATTCTGATAAATTGTATTTGAATATAACATCATAGCTATGAGAATTACAAATTACACAATCTTTCCTCTGAAAATACTATCTTTATTTTATAGAATAGTCAATTTAGGAAGTTATCTAATGCCATGGTAATATTTATTTTCTTCATTATACTTTTCTAAATTGTTCAACTTTTATAAAGAATAAATGCTTTACTTAATTTTTAAAAATTAACATTACAAAACAACCAAACAAATTAATTCTTTGCAATATCTCTGTTGCCTGCAGGAACTTCTGCAATAAAAATCCAAAATCACATTCAAAAAGGCCACCAGACTTCCATTTCTGACACTATAGTGGACTGGGTCATATTTATTTTTCCTCATGTATGATATAGTAACAATAGAAACTTCTGTCTCACTTTCGTCTTACTAAACTTGACAACAAAATTTCAACCAGATCCCCTGATCTTTAATTGCACAAGTACCTCTTCCTTTTCTATTGTTGCTTATTCTAAACAACAGGCTCTGTTTAACCTTCTCTGATTCTACGTTGTAAGAGAAAGGCCCCAGTTACTCACGACTAATATCATAGAACAGAATCCACATAAAACGGAATTGGTGTGTGGCTTGCCTCCGTTTCATGTATCTTTACATGTATTTCTCCAACATAAGATTTCCAAAGAAAATGAAATTAGAAATTATCCCAAACTTGTAATTGCTTTACCATTTCCTATTATTCAAAATATTTGAAAATAAATATTTAGCAAAACATTTTGATTATAACAAAATGATAAAAAACAACACACACACACACACACACACACACACACACAAAGAAATAGCTATCTATTGATTTCAGTCTTCATTTTGCTTTCTACTCTAATTTTCCATAGGGACCCATTTCCAAATCGCACTCTAAAAAGAGAGCAGGAAAACGTAGAGATATCTTTGTCTTAAATGAACAAATGACTAGAGGAATGAACAGTTCTGTTAACGAACTGCAGGCACAGAAAGCATTTTAAAAATAAAACATTTTGATCCTTTGCTCCTCTCTTCCTGGCAAATGCTTCTTTAGGTTCATCAATGGATTCTGACTTTCGTACTGTGTATACTTATCAAAATTGCAAAGGGATTTTTTCTGATGCAGACTGCCATCACATGTCACTATCATTGATGCTAGGGCTTATACAGGTAGTTGGCATCCAGAACAGCTTTCTACCTTTCCACTTCATCAAATCCCCATCATTGTCTAATCACACATGAGAGCATCCTTTTTCCATCTCAACTACTAATTTTTTCCTCTGCTCATATTTAATTCCAATATTATTTTAATTGAAATGTTGGCAGTTATAGCATGCATATAAAAAGCTATGCAAATGAAGCATTATTATATAGATAATACATGTGAATAGCCTTGCACTTGCTATGCAGCCAAACCAGATATGTATGTAAGGACACCCCATCCAAAAAGAACTGGGAGTGTCCATGCTGCTTGCTGTTGATGGACATCTCCGCTCCGAAGGTTGCCTTTAGCTGTATAAACGAACATCGCTTGATGACAAAAAGGAGGTCGTTTTGATGATACACTCAAATATGCAAAAAGGAAGTGCTTGCAATACACCATTGCCCAAACCTCAGAACTCCTGTCTGAGAATGAAAGTATTTCACAGCACTACCATCTGCTTTGTTATTGTGCTAAATCATTCCTGCCACTTTCTAATGGGTCAGTTAAAATTACTTTCATTTGTACCTAGCCAGCAAGTTCTAGCTCTTCTTTGCAAATGAGGCACCAGCTATTTGACCTCATAAGAACAGTGTTAGGTGAGTTTTTGAGCAGACAGTTTTCAAGTGTTAATGATAGAAGACCAAGATTTCTGATTGATCCTGAGTTTCATTTAGTGAAAATATATGTTTGTATAGGAATAGGAGGTCTTATCAAAGCTAAATTAAGTATTTCAACATAAATCTGCATTTGCTGTCTCAAAGTGTTAGAAATTCCTATCCCTTGACTTATATGGGTGCCATAAATTTTACTCTCGAAATGTACAGGTACTCTCTTTTTCATACAAATGAGGTCATTATTGATTACCCTAGGAAATGGACTTCAGAGAGTGTTCATTTAAACTCCATTCTCTTAGGAAAGTAATTTTCATAACAATAATAAAAATAAAAATAAATATTTTAAATATAGGGTTATATGTTTCCTCTCATCATTGTTCCTTTCTGAAAGTCTCTTAAGCATGGCCTAATAGCTGGCTGTAGTTTAAAAAAAAAAAAATTAAGATGCCTTAGGTAAAAAAAAATCAATTTTGGAAGTAGTAATATCAATTTCCTTGGCAGAGTTGCTGAAGAGTTTGTATTGACTGTGAATCTAAGTTACTAAGAAAAATTAGTGATATTAGCAAATGGTTATACTATGCAAATCCCTATGATAGAGTAACAATGGCTCATTGTTCACAGAAGAGATGTGAAAAACATTTTTGAACAGTTTGAATTGATATGCATTGTCCCTTACTTTGAGATTTTGATTTGAAAAATCTTAGATTGACTTAAAATTTATTCAATCTCTTTACCACTATCCTGAATTTCAATCATTTTTCTTCATTTATGAAAGAAGATAAAGAACTTAGACTAATAATTGCAACTAAAATAACATGTTCTTCCTTTTCACTTACGATTTCCCTAACGGCATACTGATATTGGCTCAATCCAGTAAACTTCCTCTGAGGCCCTAATTCTTAGGACCCTTATGTTTGAGGCCCTGAGTTATGGAAGAACTTTGGTCTAATGGAAATAACTTGGCTTAGTATTATAATACATTAATTTACTTGTCCTCATCAGTGCACCTGCTGATGACAAATCTCTTTTTATGCTGAGTTATCAACCTCCACCAGATGGACATATTTATTATTCTTTATCCTTTCTTGTTGTGCACTCTTCCAAAATTATTTTCATTTACTCTCTGAATTTCCAAAGTTTGTTGTCAACTCCTCCATGAGAGTATTCCTTTATGAATGCAAACATTATCTGGTGACCAGATATCTGGTGACCATTTGAGGATATCCTCTTTAAATCACTTCTAAAATGCCCATTGTTCTCTATTAGACCCCAATAAATCTGCTCTCTCCCACACAGAGGTTGATGTCAAAGCAAAACTGACCATACTACTTTACTGCCTAAGCTCCTTCAGTGACTGACTCCTCGTTATACTTCAGGTGGAGCACTGAGCTCGTTACAATAAAATGTAAGGCCATTCAAAACATGACCTTCAATTACTGTTGACTTACATTGTGCAATTATTAGGTCAGTGCAAAAGTAATGGCAGTTTTGCCATTAAAATTGCAAAGCCACTGTTACTTTTGCACCAACCTAATATTTCTTATTGCACTTTAATTTCCATGGCTGACTAATTGTGGACACTTCAAACTATGAGAACTCCAGGCTGTACCCTACATGCTGTTTTCTATACTTGGAGTGCCATCCCTGAACTCCACCCTCACCAACCACACCATGATTTTATGATTAACTTACATGGATGATCTTAATGATTCTATTTAAGGTTTACTGCTATAGACAACTTTAACCAATTGGTCCCCACAAGGCACAGTTACTCACTCCACCCGTTGTAGTCTCACAGGAATGGATACAGATTGCCATTATGTTATTCATAATGTTGACTGCAATTATTAAACATGTCTTTTTCTCATATTTTATTGCATTCTCTATTAAGTCATTTATCTATATTTCTCCAACAGCTAGCACAGTGTTTGGCATGGAATAGGCAGTCAATTGTTGGTAGAGGGTAAAAATCTTGCATGCCAATATCATTTGCAGACTACAAATTCCACTGCCAAGTTATCTTTCCTTGTTCCTTTCTTCCTTCAGTCAACAGGTATGTATTTGGTAATGAAGAATATTTCTTTCTTCTATAATTGAGGTATATTTAACCACTTTATACCACTCCTACATTCCTTTTCCCATATCACTAATATTTAATCTATTGGTAACTTTTATGACTTTAAATAATATGCAGATAGCTTTACTTGTTTCATCAGATCATTTTCCTGACTTAATTCAGAGAACAATAAGGATGCCAAACCCTCTTTCTTTACCTGTAACTTTCCTTTTCTTCTTTCAATCCCAAATTCAGCCATGCTTGCTTTCCCTTTAATAAGAGTAATGGCATTTATGTTCTGTACTGTAATGCATAATTATGTTTCTCAGCATTTCTTGTATAAAATGACAATGCTTCACTGTTATGACTGTGTGAAAATTATGTACTGAATAACCACTAGTGTAATATAATTACATTATGCACAGATTTATCATTTTGTTGGGTTTTCCTTAGGTTTTTTTCCGTGAAATTTTTTTCTTGTATTGCTTTCCTTTATTGCTTTCTTAAACCGTTTCAAAATCTCAAAAAAATATTGAATCTCTGAGATTCCCGCTTCATCCCAGAAACTCGTCTTCCAGAACCTCCTCCCGAGTCCCGTTCTCATCTAGACTCGTTGCTCTCCAGATCTGCTGCACCACTGATACCTTGGGTCAATTCTTCCACAGTCTCTGGATTCTATTTCTTTCTCTTTTTTGGTTGAAAAGTTCAGAATCTATCCTGAAGTAGCTTCCAAAGAAAGAGAGCTAAATCTTCCAAAGAAAGAGAGCTAAAGATAAATGAAAATATTTATCTTCTAATTTCAAATTTGATGGAGAGATTAGCTGGATATGTAATTGTAGATTAAAATGATTATTTCTCAAACCTTCAAAGATAGTGCTCTATTAATTTCTAGCATCCAATTATACAGATGTGCAGTTGATGCTGTAGCGGAGGAAATACATCTTTTTCTTCCTCCCGTTTTAGGTTCATTGGCTGGGGTTCCCTAACAGAAGACATGAACAAGAAAACAGATTAACAAGAAAAGCATAGAAATTTATTTCCATAGAAGTTTACATTACATGGGAACCTTTGAAAAGAAATGAAGACCTAAAGAATCAGTTAAACTTGGGTGTATTTTATAATAGATTTACTGAAGAATGGAGAGTGGGTGCAAAACTTGATAGGGCAAGAGAGTATAATGCAATGGAAATAAATGAGGAAATTTAGCAAGGCCTGTTTGTCCAGACTCTTCTTGGCATCTCTGTGTCTTTGGAGACAAGGCTGCTTCTTTCCTCCAGATATAAGGAGGGGACCTCACACATGAAGGTCTTCTGATCTGCTTAAGGGGAAAGTCAGAAAATCCTTTTTGGCTTTATGAATTACTTTATGTGACATGGGTAGGGGAAGATAAGAGTGACCTTTGTTCTGCAGTTTGCTTAATTCCTCAGTCTAAATTCTTCAACATGCCAAGGTGCCATATTTTGGCACAGTGTGTCACCATATTTTGGGGTACTGTGTCCTGAACCCCATCAAGATTAATCTGGTGTTTGTTGCTTTATTTATATTTGTTTCTTTTTAGGAGCTTTTAGAGTATCCTTGGTGTTCTGAGGACTTCACATTGGTGGTCTAGTTTTTGTTTTGTTTTGCACATTGTGCTGGACATTGATCTTTCTGTTGAAGAAAATTGTCTTTGATTATATCTTTGATGGTGCTACTAGTTGAATGTTGGCCCACATATTGATTCTATATATGCTTTATCTCTTATCTGATATCTTTCCCTTTCTGCCGTTTTAATCTGGTTCCTGAAAGACTTCCTTGCTCTTCGTTGTCAAGCTTGTATTCAAATTCTAGTTTCTGTAATTTTATTGCATTTCTAAAATGTCTTCACTTAAAGCCACCAGTATGACTAAATAATAATCAAAAATGGATCTAGTTCAATGTTATGATTAGAGTTTAATAAAACATATTTACTATAGCATAAGAAAATTACTCAAACTAAAATAAGGTATAAGTAAAATGACCATCAATCACACTGATTACCTTTTAATTGAATATTACTAAATAGCAATATATCAACAAATTAAAAATAAAGTCACAATAGTTTAGCCTTATAGTTAGAATCTCTATGCAGAAAATACATTGGGAATATATTTCTACTCTCATATTTATTTTTCTCATCTAAGAAATGAAAAGTGAATCTTGCATAGCTCATAACTTAAGGAAAATTTGTTTATATTTATAAGAAATTAGAGATGAAAAACATGTCTTCATCTTTCACTTGAACCACATTGTTGTACAGTTACCCAACATAAAACTTGGCAAAATCTCATATTTACCTAACCAATAACACAGTTTGGATGTTGAACTAGCACTAAGAAAAGGCTTTACAATTCTAATAACTTTGAAGCTAAAATTTCGAGGCCTCATTATGTAGTTATGTGTATTCAACAATAAGAAACCCACCTAAATCTACCTTTCATTGTTTACTTTGTACCTGTTTACAAACGTGCTCTTTCTAAAGATTTTTAAGAATGTGAATCAGAGAAACAAAAGGACTTTGAATAGATTATGATTGAAGCCAGGTGTCCAAAAGAAGACACTGGTTTTTTTAAATTATATTCAGTGCAAAGATAGATAATGTGATTCTTATTTGCAGTAGTTCATCTTGGCCTTTAATCATTTGTTTATCCACGAGACTATTGATTGCTGCTTTAGCCAGAAGAACAGTAATGACACAGGGGTAAGAAGAGAAGCAGTGTAATTCTGTGCTGTTAGCTGTTCCAAGCGATGAAACTATAATTCACAAAGTGATAGATAACAGAAGGTAATTTTATGGTTACTAAGAATGAGGTTGCATTTGTTTGTGTAGTTACTATACAAATTTATAGATGCATTTTGTTTGTATCGCATTTAAAATTTTAGTGGCTGAGCAGGAAGACGATTGAAGTAGTAAGAGGAGTATGTTCATGAACTCCTTCTTTAGCAGCCACTTGTAAAGGTGGACTGTAATTCAACATGAAATAGGTTCAGAATGTTCCCACAAACTCATTATAAATCAAGCTGCTTCGAAGGTATGGTGTTATTAAGTTTGTTTTTTGATTTTCTCTTGCCCTTCCTCCATCATCTTATCTACAGAAAGAGTTTAAAGGCAGGAAAAGTAATTCAGCAAGGACCTACTTTTAGTAGCTGAAATAAACAAAGTGTTGTTAGTACATTTCACTAAGCCATAAATGTAGTTCCAAGAATCAGGGATATTTTTTTTTCCATGTCATTGACTGACTTTGTCTTCTGCTATCTGGCCAACGTTTGATAATGAAGCAGTTAATTTATGCACACAAAATTGTGTATTTTATGTATTTTGAAAGCTGTAGATGACTGTTACAGGAGTCCAATTATAATGATGAATCTCAACTGATTCCAATAATAGCACAGTAAACCCAGCTGAAACATGTCATAGGTTATAAAGGTTTACTTTTTTGTCCTTGTATAGAGCTAGAAAATCATCTTTAATATATACCTTTTTTAATATCTAGGGAAACTTTGGTCTTATTTACAACAAGAAGTAGGATTAAACCTGGCAAGCACAGTTCCAAGTCTGCACTGAGAGACTTGCTGTCTTACTGGTAGGTCCTTTCCAGTCTGTGAATTGTTTAGGTTAGCCTTATGTATCACAGTGGCTGGCACCCAGTTGATTTTTAACATTATATATATTGAATAGGACTGGACTAAACTTTAAGAAGCCTGTTTCATGTAATGTATTGCTTCCTTAGTTCTTACTAATTCCCAATGCACATTCTCACCTAGTGAACAAACCATTTTCTCCTTCTGAGGTTTTACACCAGCACTAATCATTCTAGGATTTGGTTTCCCCTAGATCTCCCAACCCCTTTCCAGCACTTGCCATAAAATAGGCTCTAGGTCATTATTAACTAAACAAAAATAAATGCAAAATAATCTGTAGCCATGAAGTATCAGAAGTCTAAGAAATCAGAGTATTGGAGAATTATGAAACATAAAAGCTGTCTTCACTTGAAGCATTAAATTCTAATTATTACCCATCTAACTCAGTATTTAAACACTCTGTAAATCTAAAAAGATTCCCAACTCCCAATCTAAAAAGATTCCCTTTGAAAGATCAAATGGGAAGATGACTCCTCATAAAGATCTGAAGAATAAAAGTGATACATAAATGTAAATATTATTTAGAAAATTGTTGTGGGTTAATAAAATTACACTAATTAAATATGTATTTATTGAGTGACTATTATGGCCTTAGCCTGTACTATATTCAATAGGCCATTTTTTAAAAGTGAGGTCACATTTTATGTTTCTAGAGGCTTTTAATGTAGCTATAAGGGAACAATCTGATGATGCAATTAGAACTCAATGATAGATTAAACAATGATCTAGCCAAATGAGACTAATCACTCTTCTCCAAATATCTCCCATATTTTTCTAGCTCTTCATATTTACTTATTATATTGCCCATGCCTAGATAAGCAATATCATAAGTAATATGATAAAATATTATCATATTATATACCCCTTTCTGCACATTCCAAGGTCTGTTCTTCCTCCCAGTTCATGTTACTCTCTGAAGCCATTCCTAGTTGCACCAGTAAGAATCATGGTGTCCTTTCTCCATGATAGCACCACTCTGTGACCTGTAGGCTGCATTTAGCATTATCTCCTTTGCATCACAGATTTGTACATTGACTCTTCATGTCTAGATTGAAACTCCTTAAGGACCAAGACTTAGGTGTTTGGAAATGCTAAGCACATGTAATACAAAAGAAAGGCATAATATTTTTGTCCTTCTCCCTTTCTTCTTTCCTTTACCCCTGCAGTGTTTTAAATTTACTAGCTGTTTTAAACTAATTGCCATTGAATGATATAATAAGTCATACTAATATTAGGTATGATAGAAATTTGGGAATTCATATGGAAGAACAAGATGGGGTTTGTGAGAATTGAAGATCATTTCATAGAGAAGGTGCAAATTCAGCTGGAACTTAAGGAAGAGTAGAGGGCGTATAGAGATGACTTGAAGAATAATTAACAGAATTTGTAAATAAAAGCAGGAGGGCATTTGTGCAGAAGACTATGAGGCCAGCATTTTGGTAAGTCATGGGAAATACGGGTGGAGAGGTGAGATAAGATAGATGTTGGAAGATCTGGAACATCTGTGCTCATGCTGGTTGGGCACAGAACTTTGAACTGGGAGGTGATAGGAAGATACTAAAATCTCATGATCAGAGGAAAAATAGAATTTTAGGAAGCTTAATTTTAGGAAATCTGAATTTTAGGAAGCTTAATCTGGTAGCAGAGTACAGAATAGAATAGAAAAAGAATAGTTTGGATGAGACCAGATAAAAGTGTGCTATAGTAATTCAGAATAAAATCGTGAGTTTCTAAGTTACAGTTAAAGTCACATAAATAGAACATTCAAGAGAAAAGTGTGAAACATATGCAATAAATGAAATATGCGATAAACATATGAGACTGGCTGACTGAATAAAGGGCAATGATTTCATATTTCAAATTTATTATTATTACTATGCAAACATTTTTACAGAACTGACATAGTTTTGTAAAATTCTAATACAGTGAAGACTTTCTGCATCCTTTCCTACAGGTCTTTGTGATTTTGATTACCCTGAAATGAACCACCTACTTTTGGAAACTTCATTCATCTTCAAAACCACCTCAAGTATCTCTTCTCCATGAAGCTTTTCATAATAACTTCAGGTGGAGGCAGTCAAATGTGCTCATTTGTCTATTATGCATATCACATTCTTCCTCATATTAAATTTACTTATTTGCATAATTGGTTCTTTTATGACAATAAAGTTCTTGACAGTCACCTTGAATTATTCCTCGCTAAGTAGCTAGCACAAAGTAGGTGTGCAATAGTTGGATCAAAAAGATACAAAGAATAAACCATGACTGAAGGACGTCTAACCTGAGAGACTGAGAATTCTAAGGTTTGGAATATTCACTGAAATAAATAAAATAATAACAAGAAATACTAGTAATTTGGAGTCTGAGTGAAATTTTGGAAATAGAGCAGTATTATGGGGTTACCTGCAGAGAGTGAATCATTGAAATTGATAATGTCTTAGTGAAGTAAGACCAAACATAAAAGAAAATAAAAGTGTGGCAAGAATTTTGGAGAGCACCCATAGCCAATGGGGAGGAAGATGAAGATAAACTGGTAAAAGACATGGGAAAAAGGGAAGTAGAGAGAGACCAGCAAAGGTCTTTGTTCTAGAACCCAGTGAAGGACCGAGCTTTAAAGAGTAGTGGCCAGCAGTCCAATGAAGAGAATTGCCCTTTATGATTTGTATGTGCAACCCTGATAAACAAACAGTACTGAACCTGACTGCAAAGACTCTGACTTACAGCTGCTGTTAAGTTGTGTCCTTGAGAGAAAAAAAAAAAATCCAGAATACATTACGTGTTGGAGTGTTCAAGGAAGGAAACATCTACACAACAGCTGCAAATTATAGAATGTATGCTTCACAACAGTATGTCAATGAAAATAGTTCATCAAGAAAGGTTATATATAATTCCAGTTCAGTGTACACTAATTTTTTATTCCATTTTTAATGAATTCACATTACAGAGATTCTTTTGAAGTCATAATGTGTTATTTTTAATAATTTATTTCTGAACTTTAAAAAATTAATAATATTTGCACAGGGCCATTTTATAATCACAATATGGCATTTCAAGGTGTGAATTATGATATAATAACTCATACCTTGTGCATTTAAACAAGCACTCATCCTATGGCCTCATTCTTAGCAAAGCAAAAGGTATGAATTATTATGTAATAACTCATGCTTTGTCACATATTATTACTTAATTATGGAAGAAGAGGAGAATTTCAACTAATTTCAGGCTTGGAAAAAATTTAACATTTTATCCTTGGAAAAAAAAAAAGCTCAAATGCTTATTTGACACAATAGAACCACTTTAAGCCTTTCCCATTTGGACCAGGTCCATTCAGACCACTCTAGACTAACTTTTTATAGCACCTTTGTCCTTCTATTTCTTCCTGAGAATCTTAGAAAGTTTCTGACAGAGAAATTGAAAATCCAATATAGTCCTCTAGTCTATATTTCACAGAATTATTCATTTGGATCTCCAAAACAAACAGCTGTATTACCTCAAAGAAGTTTCTAAAGTGTTATAAAGAAAAGTAAAATCTGACTTCCCTTTCTAGTAAAAATTAGCAAAAAAAAAAAGAAGAGGAAAGGAGGGAGGGAGGGAGGGAAAGACTAAAGTATAAATTTCTACAAACTATGATAATTTTCTGAGAGTTGTTAACTGAAACAAAAATCCCTCCAAGACAGTATAAAATATACTTTTCCATAAACCATTAGAAAATAGCATATATATTTTTCAGAAAAGGATATAAATGTCATCTCAGGGATATATCACCAATAGTAATTATAAAATGAGTTTATCTCAAAAATCAAATGAATAAAGTTATTTATTTAATGCCATCCTTGATAGTAGAGGTTTTTTCTGCCTTTATGAAACTTACAATATAGAAAGAAAAAAATGAAAACAGAAAAAAGACCAGATATATTACAAATTTATTGAACTCTTGTTCAATAAAATAGCCAACATGCTGAACAAACAGTAGTATAGAGTAGAAGGGCTCTAATCTCTCAGATGTATCATTGAAGAATGATATATTGAAAACATGTGGGATTTGTGTGCTAGATGAATGAGGTGGAAACAGAAAGGATCATGTACACGTACAGAATAAACCACCATGCCACTGACCAACAGATTGCTGACTGATTGATTGTTCTGTCTCTATTACCACTAATCTATCAATGAATTAATGTTTAACTTTGTTGCATAAGCTTCTTCAGAAGTCATTCCTTCCTCCTACATTACCTATGATCCCCCACTCTAATTTACTATTGTTAATAGCATTTTTGCATCTTAGAGTTAGGAGTTGTAGATATATCAGTGACTTATGGCTTGGAGATCTCCTACATTCAAAACTTTATGGAACCTTCTCAATAATTGTAAGGACTTTTGGTGATACCACTATGGAAACAGCAGGGTAACTGAGGGAGAAAAACCATGCTTCAAAGCCACATGCTTGCTTGCCTTACCTTGATGTTTTATGCGTAACATCTAAAAAATCTTTGTCTCCTAAGGGATACCTTGGCCTTTCCTACTTTAGTTCTCCGGTGATTGCTATAGAATCTGTCAGTCAGTATACCTCCACGGTATCGAGACGTGGCAAGTGTTTTCAATTACTTTTTAAGATCTCTGATGATACAGTAGTGCAGTCTTGTATCAGTCCTTGATCCTCTCCAAGCTGGTTTGAACTCAGTTCATTGTTGTCTTAAGTTTGGCATGTTTATAATGGCATGTCTAGATGGTCATGAATTATGAGAGCAGAGTAAGAACCAGATTATATGTTATTATATCAATTGTTAATTAACCAGTGATTATATCAACTGATTTATAATTAGGGGTAGATGATTTATAATATAGTGCTTGGTTATAAATGGGACTTTAACATTAACCACTTATTTAATGCTTTATATAGGTTCCATTTTAGGCTATGTTACACGAACTAGATTTTAAATGATTTTTGGTAACACATGTATCCAAGATGAATCAGTATATATGATATATGACTGCCCAAAGTCAATGTCTCTTTTCCTTATATTATGTAATTACTTTATCTAGAATATTTACAAAATGATTCTTAAATTTTTATTTGGACAGAAATTTGAGAAACAATATAATCAATGTGATCATTACTTAAAGTTCCACTGTTTCTGTGTTTATGAATGCCTTAAAAGTTTTAAAGAATAATTATTCACTTAATGAGAATAATAAAATAAGATGGTTTTCTTCATAGAATTAGATAAATTCCTAATTAGTTCTCTGATTTGCTGAGGTCTGGATCTTATTTAATATTGCCTGGTTCTGAATGCAATACAGTTTTATATACTTTAAAGAGCTATGACAAGGGGCTAAATACCACAGCAATAAGCAATTAAGAAAAAGAATCCTTTTAAAGAAAAACAAGGGGCAGAGCAGTGAAAGTTCACCTAAAATGGCAAGCGCTGCAGAGAAAGCAGATTACTAAAATCATATTAAAGTATTATTATGTATCATATAATATTTATTATTGTCATATGCTTCTACCCCCTTAGTTTAGTAAGATACATCACAAAGGTCCCTACTAAGTCTTCTTCAATTCACATACAAGATTAAACTCATGACTCGACCCACACTCCATAGGAGAATTTTCTCTCTCACAGAGGATGAAAAGACATTTGCAGTGCAGAGCAAAATCATTTCAATGAATTTGGGGAGGACTATTGCCACAGAGTCCAAAACTGCTTAATCCCAGTGTCTCTCATTCCCATCTGAGAGGACTCTTTGTCTCCAAATTCCTGTGTTAGAATATTCTAAATGGTAGTTTATGTGAAGTATCCACAAGTCAGCTAGCTAGCTTCAATACCGAAGGTAAGCTGAAGGAGTGACAAGTGTTTGCAACTATCTGGGTACTGCTTGAACATATAAAGAAAACAACTAGCTTGCTTTCAATCCAAAATAAGCAAAATCATACCTCATATTCTTTTATCTAAGCTTGTCTAGTTTCTTATTTTGCACTATTTAGATGTGGGTGTCTATTTTTCTTTCTGTTTTTATTATCTAATAGTTTTAACCTAGGATTTAATGCTTCTCATAGAAGAAAATATAAATAATTCTTGCCAGAATTCCATCTTCTCTTTCCTACTCCAAAAATAAAACTTGCCAAAGAATTGAATATAAATATGACTCAATTAGCAATAGCCAACACGTTTTGAAATTTTCTCCATAAAACTGGTGACTTTATAAGTGCACATGCCATCTATTCTTTGAAAAAAGCTAAGTCAATTATTTTACAATACAGAAACAGATAGTCCTATTTTCTAGCTAAAACTTAGCAGGGTGGTTTGTTATATCCTTATAAATGTCTGCCCTTTTAACATGCTGTAAGTGCATTCTAAAATGTGTGCTAGGTTCTAGTTGTTATAGGGAAGAATTAATGCATTCTATTAAATTTAACTTTTGCTGAAACACTCTTACCTCAGCTAAAGCTCAAACCTGTAACCGGAGACTAGCTTCTAAGCAATTAAGGAATAAAATATCTGACTTTTATAATCCATCTTTTGTTCTGGGAAATGCCTATACTTAAATCAGTATGGCGTTAGACAGGGACTTGTGACCGCTAAATATTTAATTTCGTCAAAGTCCATCCATATTCTATGTTTTGACAACCCCATTACTATATAAGTATTATTTAAACAAGCAGAAACATTTCAATTAAGTATATAAACTGGTCCACTGATTATGCCCTATCTCTGGACTCAAAAACTTACTATACTTCCCCACAACATATAGAACAAAATGCAAATATCTTAGCCTAACACATTGGTCCATTACACACACACCCCAAAATCCGTACTCTTCATTTAGCAATCTTAGTCTTTGGCTCTTTCATACAGTCCCTCTTCCAAGTTAGCCTGCTACTGGTGCAATTTATGCAAGTACTTACTTCTTAACTCACATCATCCCTAAGATGTTAAAAAAATCTGTCCAATATGGGTATAATTTGGATTATGTTCTTATGTTTTCTCTACAGCTTAGTGTCTTGGACATAGCAGGTGCCCAATAAATATTTATGGATTTGAAATAGGCAACAGATAGTACCTCCATAGACAAGTTACCCTGGACCTCATGCTGTATGTGGTCCCACATATCATAAACACACATGAGAAATTAAATGTGTTTTTAAAATACATAGGTACCTCCATCATTATAGGCTAATTGACTCAGCACAACTCCATCTTATCTAATATGGCTGGGACCCCAGAGAAATGCTTCTTTGTGTTGCTTTGCCCAATGTCTTCAAAACAAAAGACAATTGTGTTACAGCGCCCTCCCTCAGTGTTTGTAGGTTGTGCTGTAACCTGCAGAAGAAGCACTTAGATTCCTGAGATTTATATTAATTTGAACTGTTCCTCTCAGACAATAGGGATACAACCAACACTCGCATTGTAAACATTATTTCCTAGTAGTGCCCATCAGCCATTTTCTAGTTTCTTTTTGTATTAAAGTTAATGAATTTCATGAATTAGCACAGTATTTGCAATAGTTGCAAATGGCAGCTGAAAAATATTTCACCATATTAAGAAATTCATATTGCTCTTAATTTTATATATATGTAGGTCTAGATGAACTCACATAAAACGTAATAGCAATATTACACATTACCAGTTAGATGGTCATTGAACACTAGAATCACTTTATTTGCACAAAAAATTTTAAATTAATTTTTTAAAATAATAAATTGAACATTTTCAGCTGTGTTAAAAAGCTTTGGACTTACTGATATCCCTTAATAACTTGTAGTCTTATTTTTAATGTAATCAATAATTTTAAATAGCTATAATAAAAGAAATTTTAAAAAATATATAAAATGTTTCATTTTTAAATTTTGCCTTTTACTTTTATTTGTATGAAAATATATTCAAATTTTATACACTTTAGTGGTGGTTGCAGTGGAAAAATCCAAAAGGTTTTTCTTTCTGTGGGTTTTTAATGTATATAGAAAAACACACATGTATAAAAATTAGCCATAACTCAGTCATTTACATTATTTAAAATTTAAATGAAAACTGGCCGGTGTCTACTTTTAGTGTATATCCTTCCAATTTTCCCAATATATTTTGTGCTCATATAGACATATATGTGTATAGTACGTATACATTTTTGAAGCAAAAATTGAATCATGAAATACACATTCATATGCAACATATTATATATCCAAGTTTCCAAAAGTAAAGTTTAGAGGGAGATCTTAAACATCTCTCTTTAATCATTTTCTTCTCATTGCTATATCCTTCTGCAACTACATCAGAATATAGTGCTTTGATGCTAAATTCTATTCGGTTCCTTTTCTTTCTTTCTGCTATTGACGATAGTCTAGATTTCTTTCTGGAATTGGATTCAATTATTCATACATTTCCAAATCAGTTACTTCCCCTGATCACGCAAGTTGTTTTTTGGAAACAAACTGACATTAAAAACTGACCTACTTTTGGAGGACAATAATAAGAATCCCTAATACAATCTAAGAAATAAGAGAATAATTCCTCAATGGTCACTGACATAGACAAGCAAATTTTCAGTCTTGAATGAAAAGGAATGGTCATTTTCTAATCTAAAACTCTGTCTTAAGTTCAGCCAATGGCTAAACATAGCCACCACACAGAACAGAGGAGGGAAAAATGTCTAAAGTTGTCCAAAAAAGCAAATGTCTGAAGTTGCCCCGCTGTCCCATCTTATTTGCACCATCAGAAGAGAGAATGGGAAGGGTCTGTGGACAAATATTCCCAAAAGGAGGATTTCACCCTCAACTCCCTCCTGGATTTAATCAACTGCATATGTTGTTTATTGCTGCAGCCCCATGAACATTACCACTTAATAAAATTGTTTCACTCTTTGGTTGTCATAAATGCCACATCTATTTAAAGCCATGTTTTATTTAGTTAAAGTTTGCTTTATCATCCGCAGAAAGGATTATTAAATTGAACAGGTGACGATTTTAGCTAAAGTTAAAATCAATAATATTTAGCTGGGCCTTAGGTGCTAAATTCTAAAATTCCATGTTTTTCACTTTGCCACAGCTCTATATCTAAGCATCGCTGACGGTTCTTGCTCCGTGTTCACCTGTGATTTATGGCTGTTCTAGTAGGTGGGACAAAAGCTTCAAGGCCTCTTGCAGTGTTTAAGCTTCTAATAATCAGAGGAGTTTTATTTTCTTACTCTTTGAACTGAGACTGCTGTTCTCAGTTTTAGAAACTCATTAAAAAATGGAATTTTAAAAAGTTCAGGGCTTAATCTGTTTTCTAAAATATTTAATATCTGACTTTTAGAAAGAATGTAATTCTATAAAACATGCCCTCAAATTTCATCTAAAACAAAATCAATTTAAGTCTTTGGATAAGGATTTTTAGCTCTTCCTTATTTCTTCATTACCCTAAGATAATGTGATGAGAAATGAAGTCTTTGAATGCCCTAGAGTGGTTCCAAACAGTAAAATTTTTCTAACAGCAAACTTCTTGTTCATGGAACTATAACTCACTCTTGAAAGCATGGTGTTTCTATTTTCCTATTTAATTTACATAATGTAAATGGTTATAAATAACATTATCAGAATGTTTCATATCAAAGCATGAATGATTATTAATTGCCTAAACACAAAGAAAGTTTGTCATTCAATCACTATAAAAATTATTTTTCATTAGGTTGGCATGTTAGAAACTAATTATTTTAATAGGCATGGTTAAAAATTCTCCAAAAGACATCCTCCAAAATGAAATATATATGTTTTTTAATTTTTGTGGCTACATAGGTGTATATAGGGCACGTGAGATACAGACATGTAATGCATAATAATCACATCATGTAAAATGGGGTATCCATCCCCTCAAGCATTTATCCTTTGTGTTAAACCTATCTTTAAAAAGAAATTAAAAAAAAACACCATGAAATCTCAATTACTGCTAGCTTAACAACAACAAAAAAATCACCCAATGTCTAATTTGATTTACTAAAGTATGTACACTGCCAGAAGTCTTCCTTAGGAAATAAGGCACAAAAATTCAGTTTCAGTAGCTGTATTACAGTGTAAGTACTTATTTTTGTTGTCTAATATTGGTATACATCAATAAAAAAATAAAATAAATTTCACTTCAATTGTATTAGGACATGTTTAATAAAAACACTGATATAAAAGAAATTTGAAAAATCCTTAAGGTGATTCCTCTTTAGTGCTTTCTGTTTTTAAGTTATTTGATCCATACAATGTGAAAAGAAATGAATGAAACCACTACAAACACAATACATTAGAACTGAGAAAAATTATACTATGCAATGTATATTTTAAACGTACACTTTTTGATCTATTTTAAAATTTTAAAAATAGAAACAAAGCACTTACTGTTAACAAAATTATACCTCTATATAATGATTTTTATTTACCCTAAACCTTCTATGCTTTTAATCAATTGACTTGGCATTCAGAATAGAAACTTTCCTAATTATTTGTATTTATCTACATGGTAACTGACTATGTAAGCTACCTAGGCAACTCCTAAAAATAATTTCAACAGATATTTTAACTTCTCATAAAATTAAAAGTTAGTGTAAAAAATTTTGAGGCAATATACTGAGAATTTGGTCTCCCTTCAATACACACTAACAGAAGAACAGAGACTGATTCCCTAAAATATTGAATCCAATACTGAATGAACAGGCAACACCATTTTAATTGTCATTAGTAAGGATTTATATCTAAAATATCAGAAACACTTTAAGACTATTGACTTATACCAAGGGGTGTTTAAAAGCCTCCCTTTATTTTCAAACTTCTATTTGTAGAGAAAGGAAATAACCTTTACTGTATAGTAGGTATAAAAGAAACCAGATGATTCATCTCTGTGAATCTGCTTGTTGAATTTGATGGATCATTCTTAAAAGCGACGTTGCTAATCTTCAGGTTTTCTTTTTTAGGTTATTCACAGATCAGTGGGTTTTCCAGCTAATACAGGTCTGATGCTCTTCTGTCTTCACACATGGTATTCATCATATCTTGACAAGAAAAGACCTTCAGTCTACAAATAACCTTCACTGAAGTAAGACATGTAAGTGGGTTTCTTTATGAAAGATAGATTTTATGGCTGAATAAAAAACAACTGTAGTTAAAAAGTGTCATTGCATGGCCTTATTTGAAGATTTTTCCTTAAAGGAACTTTAGTGTTTGTTGTTGAAACTACTAACAGACCAAAAAAGAGAGAAGTATTAAATTACTTTATCATTAACCACAAACGCAACACGAAGAGTTGATCAGCTCCGTATTTTATCATTCAGAAGCGTTCAGCCTTTAAAATATTTAAGCATCCACATTAGTTCTTGTCAAACTAGCACAAAGCAGTGCATAATATGACCTGTGTGTAAGAGAAGAACAAGATAAGAGGGTACGGTCAGGGTGAAATTTCCACAATGGGATTGCCCTGTGCTATAGATAATAGTTTGGCTTCCTGTTTCCAGACAATTACAAAATGATGCTGAATGTTTTCTTTATATTTTTACTTGGTCATGCTAAGTCTAGTTGGTATTGAACTACCAAGGAAGTAACAATAAATTTGAGGCATCCTACATGCCCTGTATTATTTCATATGGCCAATTAGAAAAAATAAAAGCTCGATCAAATTTTATGGTGTCAGACAGCGTGATAATTTGGGTTCTCATGGTATAAATAACTTTAAAGAAAATATTAAGGACTTTCAAGCTGGGTAAGAATCAAAATAATTTCTCAGTGTAACTAAACATCTGAGAGTCTCTTTGCATAGTGCCTACTGTGTAGTGAATAAAGGAATGGCTGGGAGACAATTTCTTAAACACCCCTTAAAATCTTCCATTGGTCTTATATAAACCAAAGTATATAGAAATATGATTATCAGTGAAATTAATATAGAGCATTTAAAAGCACAAATTTTAACCCTACTGTGTGGGATGAGAAAATACAGGAAAAATGTGACCTCCAGGAGGGGATTAGAGAGTACTAATGAAAAAAAATCCTTGTAAATCTTAAACCCCTAATTTCAACAGACATTTATTACAAAGCTTTCTGTCCTTCTCTAGTTTTAAATCCAAAAAATGATCCTGGAGAGAAATAAAGTTACTATTAGTGAGATATCAGGAAATTTTATAACAGTAGATATATATATATATATATATATATATATATATATATATATATATCCCAACTTTTAATTTTGTTATTCATTCATTCATCCATCCATCCATTCAGCAAACATTGAATTCCTGATATGTACAAGTTGCTGGAGAAACAGTGGTCAGCAAGAGAGATAAGGGCCCTACCTTCAAGTAGCTTACGTTATGATGGGAGAGAATAACAATGAACAAAAAAAATATATAAAATAATTACAGACTGGAATAAGCAATGCATAAAATAAACCAGGTGTTATAATGAAACATACTGGTTAGGACAGGTTTCTCTGAGAAGATATTCAAGCTAAGATGCAGGAGAAGCAGCTAGCTGATTATCTGAAAACTAGAAGCAAGCTGTTTCATGCTGAGGAAACAGCAAGTGCTTGGAAGGTTCTAGATGTTTAGAAGCCAGTGTAACTGAGGTTTTAATGACCAAGACATAGTCCACAAAATGAAATGGAAGGATCAGCCAGAATAGATCAAGCATTATAGGCCTGAAAAGAGTCTGGATTTTGTTCTATAGTCATTGAGAATTTTAAGCAGCCTTTGATAAGACATGGTGAGATTAAATCCAATCCCAAAGCAAAGCAGTAATACAATAGAGTAGGAGGAAAAAGATTCAAAGGTGAAAAAGGATTTTAAATATACATAAACACTGAATGGCCTAAGCAAAGTTAAAAACAGACCCATATCTTGGAAGCTTTATAAACTATCCTTGTGGCAAATATTGTTGAATTATGGAAAATGAAATAAAACAAAACCTAATGGGCATAGAATGCTAATATATAAAAATGTAGCTTTCAATCATATTTATATATACTGTAAAATAAAAATGCATAGACCTAAACCTTTTGAGAAGTTTTGTTAAGTTTTGTTAAGATTGCAGCAATAATAAAACTATTAAAATTTCACCTTCAAGAGAAGTGGATGCTAACACAATATATTGTGTATAGTCTCTTTAATTTGTTTTAAACCATTAATTTTTAAAATCATTGCTTTCAGAATTACTTATTGTTAATATTTTATCCACACTGCAATGTAAGAATAAAACAATTTTTAACCTTTGGAGAAAAGATACTATTTTCCAGACTGGCAACTTAATAAATATTTGGGTGACTATCCCTGTCTTCGACATCTAAAGTGAATAATTTAATACAATAATATCGTTCAGTTGTGGAGTAGCATGCAATTGAATTGTTATAAATTTACAAAAATGCCTGTAATAATATCACAGATTAAAACATAAATTGATAGAATTGTGGTAGTATGTTTTTACTGTGCAGGAGGATCTGCTAAAATAACCAGCATTTAGGAAAGTGAATGGAATAATATAAACACTTGAATGTAAAAAATTATTACAGATATGACATTGGATATATTAAAGTATTTTGTGGTAAGCAAATATTAAGGAAATAATGATTGAATCTCTTCCTAAAATAACTTTGCCAATGCAGGATCCAAACTCTCTGATTCTGCTTGCCTGAGCGTTTTGTATTTTTAAGTAAGGAGCTGGATCATACTTAGGTTTTTCTGCACATTAAGAAAAGTGTTAGCAGTAAAAAGTCCAGCCCAGGTCCTTCTGTGACTGCCTAGGGACTGCCAAAAACTCCGGGGTATTCCACATCTACTTTCATTATTCTTTCATTCAAAAGTAATTTATCAAAGAGTTACTGTCTGCCAAGCACTGCCCTAGACACTTGAGATATATCAGTAAACAAAACCACAAAGGATCCCTGCTCTCAGAGAGCTTGGATTCTATCAAGAGGAGATCAATAAATATTAGCCTGATAAATAAGTCATATAGTAGATTAGAAGATGATAAATGCCATAGAAAAAGACAAAGTAGAACAAGATAAGGGAGATCTAGACATGAGACAGGAAGCAGGTTACAATTTTAAACAGCATGATCAGTGCACACCTTCTTGAGCAGGTGACTTGTAAGCAGAGGCTTGAAGGAGGTGAGGGATTTGCTGGGCATCTGGGAAAAGAGCATTCCAGGCAGGGCCCTAGGGAAGACAGGCCCGGTGTTTTGTAAGAAGAGAAGGGGCCAGAGTGACAGGAGCGGCAAGGTAGAAACCAATTTTGTACTCTCCAGTACCCATGAAGGAGAAGTCCTGGAATTTTAGCAAAGGAGCAGCTTCGAGCAGCAATATAGGAAGGAAGGGAGGGAGGGAGGGAGACTTAACGTTGAATTTGCATCTTTGTGGCAAGCCTACTGTTTAACCTAGAATTTTTGTCAGAAATAAGAATATCAAAGAATTCTAAAGATCACTGTAGTCACACTTCATGTTTAGAGTTGTCTTTTTTCTTATTATAATCATTCTTTAAAGATGGTACTATGTACCACCTCTCTAGCTACCTCATAGTTCTCAGGCCTGGTTCAAAGTCTTTCTTAGGACTGTACACTTATCTAACAAGCAAATTAGTGGTTATGAAGGAATCAGAATTACAGGGCAGCCCAAGAAACTGCCCAAATGCTGGAACTAAATGTACAGTAATCACTTGGGAAAATGTGGTAAATTCAGAAGAAAATACAAGGTTCTTTAAAAAAAATGTGCATTCAGGTGCACCGAGTTTCAAAATAAAACAAATAACTAAGGAGAAACCATAAAAATCAAGTCCTGCATGTAAAATAATCTCTCGTCTGTTAGTAGGCAGCACTCCACTTTTTGATTTTTTTAATGACGTTTATCCATTACAGTCAAATTAGAAAAAAATAGTATGACAGTGCTTCAATATTTTTAAACAAAGCAGAAATCTTTTAGTAATCTGTTGACTTGAAATACTCCAAAAGAAAGTGGATTAGTCCCACAAAACAAAGTGCTTTCCTCAATACGTGTTTATTGTAATGGAGTCCAGGACCACCACATGACATTATAGTAAAAGCTCTGCAGTATTTCCATCTGGCAATGAGAACACAAGATGTTGTGTAAACTACCAGAAGGGCTCTATTTCATTGTAATTAAAATTTAGTGTTACACTTAAGCAATAAGGCAACTCCAGGAGATGTGATTATCATGAGATAATGACCTTGGGGTGTTACAAGGCATACAAAGAACCAAATGCCTCCAATCCTCTAGGGGGCAAGATTATTTCTACATAACAATCTCCACCTCCTCTTGCTTACCCACCCCTGCCCCTGAAGCTGTATGATCAGTGAAAGAGGAAAGCTTGGGATTAAGAGCACTAATATGATTTCTGCAAAAAGAGGACATCGGGGGACTGGTATATGACAAAGATGGCATCGTGGAATGCTGAAGCAGCAGTTTCAAATGAGTTGTATTGTTTTCACAATAATTATGCAATGGCTTTAGAATTCTCTGGACACACATAGAACTGTCAGTGATGTCATAGTCATGTAAGTAATCCTCAGCAAGGGCACAGATTTAACCTTTTCCCCCTGTTTTGGTTTCGTGATTTCCATTCCATAATAGCAATAAGATATGACAGGTGGTACATTTCTTGAGGGTTTATTATTCTTCTTGGGTGGTTGAAGCCATTCAGCCTTTGGCCTGAACCTCTCAAGACATCTGAGATGTATAATAATTTCCCCAAAATGCAATGCCTGTCATGTCTTATTGCTTAATTACTTTGTACTTACCAAGTAATTCTTCTTAAAGTGAATGCAGATAACAGCGCTTATATTACAGTTTATACTACTAGAAACTACTTCTAAATGGGAAAACATGGGACAATTTCTACTGTTATGAATGAGGGAACATTCCATTGTATTATTGTTATAAACTGTAAACTGGAGGGCCACTTAAAATTATGTAAAATATTTATATGTTTTAATAATTTGTTGGAGGGGAAAGTGATAAACTAAAATTAGAGTTAATATAAAATTAGGACATCCTCAATGACAGCTCATGTTGAGGAGATGGGTACCCTAATTATTCAAAGGTATCTCAACTCTCGTATATCAAAGAGTTGAAAGGGTGAGCTTAGCTTGTATAATATTTTTAATTTAAAAAGAATGGAAACAAGTATTATTAAAGGGAAGCACTGGAACACTGGGAAAAATTATAAAATAGTAATATGGAAAGGATTTGCATATATAAATATATATCTGTGTATATCAAATATATAAAACATGGACACACTGAAAGGGTAAAAGAGTAAAGATTCAAGGTATTAGGGTTTTTTTTTATTTTTTCGAGGTAAGGAAGAACCTCCTAAATACAAATGAGCCTTATTAGCCGTCTACCCGGTTGAAATTTAGAGTTTCATTGCCCCCTATTTCATTTTACTGGTATATAGTCATGTTCCAGTAAATACCTTCAACTCTCCACTTAAGAGAGTATAATCTTCACTTCTGTTGTGGCTGGATCTAAGATCTGGTGAGCTTATAAATTTAGAATACCTTGGGGTGAGTCTACATATTCCTGAAATTCAGGAATATCTACACAAAGATTAATTTACAGGACCAAAAAAATGCATATAAACAAACATGATATATTTATACAAATCGATGAATACAAATTGTACATTAGAACACTTTCTAAATTAATCTCTGTAACTAATCTGGTAATTTAGGTACACAACACAATAACATATTTCTTGACGAGGTCTCCGTCATAGTGAGTTCTCTCAATGACATGTCCCGAGTCACCAGGAACTCAGCAGTCATATTATTCAAGGATTCTAGAACATGAGGCAGGGGAAAGCTGAGTACTCACTCCAGGTCCAGCCCACTCCAATATTCCCTTCTTCATCGGAGAATCAACTAGGAACTTCAGCTCCCATTTTCTAATTGATCAATCTTATGACCTTAGTTAAAGTTAATTGACCTTTTTGCTCAATCTAGATTCTATATTTGGGGGGAAAAAAGTACTAATACCAGCTCTAACAACTTCACAGAGTTTTGTGAAGATGTGAAATAGAATAAGGGGAAATGTTTTATAATTCAAGTGCTAGTCACATCCATTTCTGATGTTGCTGTTGTTGCTACTATTGCACTCGACTGAACATTGAGAATGGATGGTGAACACACTTAGGCACAACTTTGGGACAAACATTAAACTAAAGGGATATGGTTGGGGTCAGATAGGGACCACATTCTTATTTTCTAAAAGTATCAGGTGAAAGAATGAAAATATCAATTTTTAAATCATTATGAGTCATAAATCTCCATATCAAACAGATAAACACAAGAAAAATTCTGTTGCAAAATCTCTCTTATGTTGTAAAGCATTCATCACTTCCTGATAGAAGATGTTGCTGATTTTGGCCTCCTTCATGAAAGCCTTCCTTCATTGAAAATGAGATAACCAATCCTTCTTTGCATTATTACCCTGTATCAACAGGAAGTCTTTCTGTCAGAATCCTGCTGTTTCTCACCTAAAACATTGTTTTACTATTTCCATTATTGTATTCACCAAACTTGTAGATTCTGTGGTGAGAATGTTTAAATCAATTCTATCTTGGATTATAAACTACACAGCAAGAAAAGAGCCTGGCAAAGATAATTTTATTGAAAAGTGTTAATACACTTTTCAATAAAGAAATATATTTATTTAAAAATGTACGTGCAAGAAAGAAATATTTTTTATTTAAAAATGTACCTGTAAATATCATTGTTTAGGAAGCCTGCATATACTTCACCACAACGTTAAACATGTTTATCCTTCCATATATGCAAGAAAGTCTTTGATTTACATCACAATTTTATTTTTATAGTACATATAGATAACTTTGCTTCTCTTTCTAATGTATATATTTTTTGCCTAGAACTTTTAGAAGAAACTTAAATTGTAAGTTGTGTTTTTACTTCAAATGTGTTTTTACTTCAAAGATTATTTAAAATGCATTCTGACCATGACGCACAAGAACATAGAGGAAGTCTCTCACAGAGGAACTTCTTTACTTCTCCAACGATGTGTCTGCTCATATTTTCATGGGTAGATTAGCTAGGCATAATTTGATAATAAATTTTGGTAAAGATGAAGTCTTTCTTCCATTTTTCTCTCCGTCTCTCTGTATCTGTATATATATTTTTTTATTACCAATAAAAAGTTTAACTCTCATGAGATATCTTAAAATTGTTTTCTGTTTTTTTTTTTTTTTGAAGGAAACTGGATTCTTAAATCAGGCCTTCCAAAAGAACATAAAATTAGAATTGCCTGCTGAATGAAGACAATTCAGAAAGCAAGCTAGTATAATCCCAAAATTCCCAAATGCTCTTTTCTCAATGATACTTCTATCTACGATGGTAAGAGTGAAAAATATGGAGTTTTTTGTAAATCAAGTACACGCTTGACAGGAACTATTTATTCACCTCTAAGAACTATTTAAACACAGTCTTTTTTGATACCAAGCCAAGGAAAAAAGCTCAACCACTGTCCTGCAGATCAAATTTTTATTGCACAGAGACCAGGTGGTAAATCTGACCTAGAAAAATTAGTAGCCAACACATGCCTGCTGCCTGCTCTATCTATCTGTCTGTCTGTCTGTCTGTCTGTCTGTCTGTCTGTCTGTCTGTCTGTCTCTGTTTTTCTATGTATCTACTTCTTTATTTATTTATTTATTTATTTTATTTATTTATTTTTTTAATGCCACCTGTGTGAGCAAAATACTTCTTAGAATGGAACAATTCATTCAGGCAGGGGAGCCACTGTCCCATGCCCTTTCCACCTTAATCAAGAGTGCTCTATCAACAATCTAACACACAGATTCAACACTGATCTTGTCCCTGGGGTGAGTATGATCTTCCTTGGTGGTGATGGTGGTGGTGGTGATGTTGCTGTGCAGTTGCATTATTGATCCCGCTGCTTTATTGCTAACCATGACTCTCTAGTTTCTGAAATGACTGTTCTTTCCAAGGTGATAAGTTCCTTCATACAATTTCCAAACAGCTTCATACACATATTCTGGCCCTTTCCTTTCATATTTCTGGCTCCCATTTGTTATCCCACATCTAAAATGGTGACAGACAGTGATTACACATTTGTCACGAGATCAGAAATTCTTAAAAGATTTCCCAGAAATCCTCATGATAGCTGCTTGAAACTGCATTATACTCCCTGGCACCAGATGGAGTTATTATGAGGATTCTTTTCTTAAAGAGTCCATCTGCACGATGACTTTTTATGGATTGTTCAAATATACTTTGATTTCCTTGATTAAAATTATAAAATGTGGGTGCTTAAACTTGAGAAATATTTTTATATTCTATGGTCTTGTCATTGTCATGCATTCTGCTTAGTGATAAACCTTTGATGGCCATGATCAAATCTAAAAATGTAAGACTTTTAGGCAGGGGCATTTAGGATACTTAGAAAATCGTTATAGGATTCCTTACATGAGGTACAGGTACATTCCAATGTACCTTTACATTGAAATAGCATCTGACATTTTAAAAAGCTAAGTGTTTTCGACCATGTTCACTATTTATGAAAAAAACAGTGGAAGATTTAAGCCTAATTTCCCCTGGGTGACTGTAGTCTTGCCTTTGTCACCCAGAATTAGATATAAATCTCTCTTTGGCTCTGAGTATGAGAAGTGCTCCCGATGAAAAGATAGCACAGTTCCATAGAACCAAAGTTTTCTCTTCCACATTAGAGATGTTTTCTATGTGAAATAATAGAGCAAGTCAATCATGAGAAGACTCAAGACTGCCCTAGGGATGTGTAGTTTTCATGCCCTACGGGTGGCCTTTGGTGATTTATATTTGTATTCATAAACAAGTATGGACTTAAAACTTACAGGTGCTTTAGGGATATCAGAGGTGGAAGATTCAATCCTGGCTCTGTAGACGTGTATTTTCTTCTTGCATGTTTTTTTTTTCTTTCATGAAATGGTTGACTTAAATCTTAATAGATGGCCTCATGAAAACTACAAGATAAATAACAAGAGCCTAAAAAAAGTGGGGTTAAAAAACAGAAATGCTTGGAAAAAAATAAATGCCAGCAAGCAAAAATGGCTCAGATTACAAAACATTTTAAGAGAATTAAAGTGACAGAGTTCCACAAACAAAACATATTATCTGTTATTCAAGGTATTGGTAGAGCAGGGATTGCAAAAATCAATGCACCTCTAAACCCAAGACATTGTCAAACAACTGTTTAATACTCAAGTCTCACTAAATCACAAATCCAGGTTGGTAATGAATAGAAAATTGGCAGGCTAGGGCCTCATTTCCTTTCACTTCTTCTCTTCAACCTCACAAACTGTGAAAATGTAAAACAGGTAAGCAGTCAGTGAGTGAAACAATTAATATCCCACCACATCCTTACATGATTAGCCTCTTTAAAAAATCGGAAGCAGACTTAAAGGTGATGAAACATCACAGTATAATTTTAACAAGAATAACTTCAGCTCCTACTATGTGCCAGTCACTTTTTCACTCGTGTCTGCTTCAGCTTGTGGAATTCAGTGGAAACTGCCTCTTTCAAGTCCTCAGCCTCCAACTCAGAAAACTGAGTCAGTCTAAAATGAATCTCTGCTTACATAAATGACTTCCTCTTTTGTCTTGCTGAAGGGAATTTTGCTTATCTGAATCAGCCTGGTGACAAATCCAAAAGTTTCTTGATGAGATCAGATCATATAGTTCCAGTAAATTAGCACATACCAAATACAGTATCTGCTGAATCTTCAGTATTCCAACAGACTCCTATCTATTGTCAGCAATAGAAAATGACCTTCAAGAAGGCTGCTTCAACTAAGGCTCCTGGAGTTTAATTGAGGCTGTGACTAGACCCAAAAGTATTCAATCTTTGCCCAACTACTTTACATGGAGACTCTGTGTCCTCTCTGACTTCATGAATTTATTTATTAACTCTGGAGAAGTTTTAATATACCAAAAAAAAAAGTGCAAAAAGACTTCTTTGTGCCAGCATCCTAATGTTCTTTGTGTTACCTTTGCTGCAGCCTAAAATTTAGAACCTTGGGTTGGCAGAGGCTGAATCATAAGACTGCCCTGTGGCTTCTCCATAGAGCCTGTGCTCTGGGTTCCCATCAACATTATAAAGTTGCTTTCTTGATTCACAGAATTTCATGAAAGTAGAGGCAGAGTACTGAAAACCATATGCAAAACGTAGTTTAATAAATGTTAATTCATTCAGAGATCACAAAGTGCCTCTGATTTTTGCCTTACATAGTTCTAGCTTATTTCATCTGACCTCGCCATCCTGCATATTTACATATATATACACACATGCATATACATACACACATATACACATATGTGTATGTATAAATATATAAACAATTGGTAAATCTGAGTAAAGGATATATAGAAGTCCTTCATATTTTTGTGTTTTTCTAGAAGTTGCAAATTATATCAAAATTACAAGTTACTCCCCCTAATTAAAATAAAATTGCCAGAAAAAGAGAGAGGAAGAACAGAGAGATATGAAAACTAAATGCAATGCATAACCTTGAATTGAATCCTAGAGCACAGGAAAAACATGCCCTGAAGAATGGCAATTGGTGAAAATTGAATAAAGTAGGTATATTTGAAAATAATATTATAATCAGTGTTAATGTTCTGATCTTAATAACAGTGCTACGGCTATATAAGTGAATGTCCTTGTTCTTACTCTTAGGAAATAATTAGGGGGAAGGTAGTATGATGTCTCCAAGTTATTTTCAAGTAGTTTAGAAACACACATGCACACACACACACACACACACCCCAACCACCCCACATACATATATACATATATATGTATACACATATTCATATACATGTACATATGTGAGTACATATATATATGTATATATGTATGTGGGGTGTGTATGTATTTCTAAACTATGTGTATGTGGGGTGTGTATGTATTTCTAAACTATATACATACATGTTTTATATATATATATATACACACACACACACACACACACACAGAGAAAAATGATAAAACAAATGTGGCAAAATGTTTAAAAATGGTGAACTTGGATATAGGGTATACAGGAGGGGTTTTGGTGGTGTTTTTTGTTTGCAATTCTTGCAACTTTTCTGTTGACAGTACACCTCCTGCACTGGACCCTTGATCCATGATCCCTTATTCATGATACCTGACCCACTTGAGATCTCGTGGCTGACATTTTTTTTTTCATTGAATTTCCACATGAATTGCTGGTTTATAACTTTGCCTCCCTACTGACACTGACATCTTATATGTAGGTCTCTGGCTCTAGTTCCTACCTCCCCAGCCCCTATCTGGGCCATAATCCTGATTCAATATGCTGTTGGTTCTCAGTCTGAATTCTTTAGACCATTCAATTCAAAATTGCACACCTTTTTTCTCAGACTGAATCTTTATGTTTGGTACCCCTGCTACTTCAAGTGGAATACCTGTGTACATATTTTTATATATATATGGCTCATTTAAAAAATATATATATGTTTCATTTATATTACCTACCTGTTGAAAAACTATACAACACTAATTGTTTTTGGATTTTCTGTTAGGCTTTATAATTTATAAATTCCCATGTTTCTTTTTTCAGATAAAACTTATTTCAATTTTATTACATTACTGAAACCCCCGCAGGATAATGCAATCATATGTATTGACTAACGTTCATAGTTCTGTTGTTTAAAATAAAGCAGAATTGAATTAAGGCCTAATACAGTCACATAAAAATTGCACTGCTTTCTTTTTTTTTAATTTCATTTTAAACAGGCAGCCACGATATCCGAGCCCAGTTATATAAACAAAAATTTCACTAAGAAAAAGAAAGCAAAAAGGGTACTTCTATCTATAGAAGTTAATAGGATAAGTTTCTGAAATCCAGATTAAAATACTGAAGCCTTGCAGAGCAGTTCTTCTCTTAAGAGTATAGATAGGAACAAATTGTTTGGCCCGCATGAACAATCTCATTGTTTGTACTTGATAATCTTGGATCACAACTGAAATTAATGTGACAAGTATTCTTTTTTCTAATATGAAATAATTCTTCAGAAAAAAAATACTAGATAGCCATACTTACATCTCATATCAATTTCATGTTATACCAGTTTACTTGGATGAAATATTTTTTAAAATCCCCCTTCCTAGTTCCCAGTATGGATAGGTTTACCGCTTCTCTCTACTGTGTGTCATGGAGTGTTAATGTTTCTACAAAAGGCAAAAATATTAAAATTTCATAGTCGATAAATGGATTTCCAAACTATATAACCTGTATTGTTACCCTACATCTTTTTTCTTTGAGATGGGGAGTCTCGCTCTGTTGCTAGGCTAGAGTGCAGAGGCACGATCTTTGCTCATTGCAACCTCCGCCTCCCGGGTTCAAGTGATTCTCCTGCCTCAGCCTCCTGAGTAGCTGGGACAATAGGCATGCGCCACCCACGCCCAGCTAATTTTTGTATTTTTAGTAGAGACTAGGTTTCACCGTGTGGGCCAGGATGTCTCGATCTCTTGACCTCGGGATCTGCCCACCTCGGCCTCCCAAAGTGCTGGGATTACAGGCATGAACCACCACACCTGTCCACCCTACATCTTTAAGAAGCATTTTGAGATTGACCCCATCAAAATATTCAGCTTCTTTTCACATTCCTCTGCTGGTAAAACAAAAAGAGAAAAATAGCAATACTGCATAACTGTTTTGTAAGAGTCTGTTTTATTTCCCAATTTATTCATCAGGAAATTTCCCTGGATTTAAAAAAATTATCATAATGTTCAAGTATCTCAGTTGTAATATGAATAGTTTTTCAATGAAATGTGATTTGAACTATAGAAGTACAAGAGCAAAACAATGGACACCTTTAAAGAATATGAGACCTAAATCCCATGGCAATATGCTAGTCAGTGTTTTGTACAGGGAGGTCCCATTGGTTTAATTTCTGTTTTCTTCTCACTTTACTCTGATCCTACAAGGATGCAAATGGAGTAAAAGTGGAATCAGCCAGAATAATTTTCCCCAATGAAGACAAATAAATCAGTACAAGAGAAAATAATATACATGTCAACAGTCAAGACCGTATATGACTCCAGTATGAACAGCAATAAGCACTTGACTCTAGCCTCCACTCTAAAACTTGGGGGCATATGATGAAAAGCTGATGTCAGTGATTCTACTTTTGGGGATTCAAATACTGATATTCTTTGACACGTTCTACTCACAAACAAGAATAAAGATTCAGAATAACAGCCAACTTTGTCCCTGAAGATCTGTGAAGCCCGAACAGAGCTGTAAGAAGCTCCTTCACTGAGTCTTAATCTTAAAACCACTGAAAAGTTCTGCCTTACAGGCCAAAGGTCTTGTGTGTTTGCATGTGGAAAAAGATGAGCTTGATGAACTACTACCAATAATGATAGTTAAGCTTGGTACAACAGGGCCTTGATCATTTCATCTTAAAAGAAACTGTATAATAAGTTGCAGCAAGGGAAAGAAAAGGAAGTATGAGATGTTCCACAGAGTTCCTCTGTCTTGTTTTCTGTCTGGATATATGACAACAATATTTCTATTGAATAATCTTTTAATCATAATTGGATGTTATGGTTGTCTTCCATGCAAGCTGCAGATGACTGCCCCTCCACAAACAGTCATCAAATTATGCCACTTGAATGCCCCAAAATGGAGAGATGGGCGTGGGAAGAGAAAGACACCTCAGCAACACAGAGCTGAGAAAACACTGTGAGTTTTATTTAATTCCTACTTACCGTTATTTTGCATAGTAAACAAAAGGGATATTTTTGAAAATCCCTTTGGATAATTTCTGCCACCTAAAATTCTGAGCATTTTGACTCACTGCCTTGTAAAAAGAATCAATTAATTGAATAAGAGAAGGGATTCTCCCCTGATCTTTTCAAGAATCCTTAAAAGGCACATTTCTCACTAAGGATCTTGAAAGTGTATTTCTAGCCAATCCCAGGAGTCACTGCTCAGAGATTTACATTTCACAAATGTAATCAACAGCCTAAGCAGAATATTGACGTTTGGACTGCAGAGCTCTGCTACCTGCCGCATCACTGCCATCCTGAATACTGCTGTGGAATTGCCTCCTATGCGGAGTTTATATTGAGGGTTCTAATGGTACTTCCCAACAGAAACCAAAGCAGATGTGTAACACAGGCCAAGAAGACCCCTTCAGCATTGAGACGGTATTCCCTGCATGCCCCAAATTAAAAAATAGTTTCAAATAAAATATATGACCACAGTAGAGATGTTATGTACAGTCTGAGGCAACTCCCACGACCACCTCCTGAACGCAAAACCTCGACCAATTTCTTTTTCTTCATAGCACTTATGACTCTCCTGAATTTGTTTCTTTCTCTGTGTATTGCTTTACTCTTCCACTAGAAGCACACACACCCCATGAGGATGGAGACTTGGACTTGGTCACTATGGCAGCCACAGCATGAGAGCATGCCTGCCCCACAACTGATGCTCAGAAAACACCTCTTGAACAAATTAATGACAGAACGCTCTTGCCAGTGTGGCCCTTAAACACAGAACACTGCTCCAGAAGATGAGTAGGTAGATTCAGACATTCAAACATCTGCCACGCGAGTGAACATTACACCTGTGCACCACTTACAGAATTCAGGATGCAGAGCACAGAGTCTATGTGAGGAAGCTTCATCTTAAAGGAAATTTCAGGGCCATTATCAGAGCTCACTCTCCCATAATCTTGATTATTATTTGACAATTCTAGCAGGCCCAGAGAGGAGGCACACAGCACTAGTGCATTTGCAACAGATCTCATCTAAATCGTAGGCCTCTGTTGAAGACAGAGGTTACACTGGTCAATAAATTGATGAACATGTCTTCCAAAATATTGTTTCACTGTGCCCTTTGCTGAAGTGTTGAAACCACTATGAGCTCTTCAAAATTATGGTATAAATGTCCCTAGAAGTTATGCTGGGAATGTACAATATGGCTTTTCATAGGACAAAAAAGAAAAAGAAAACCTTTTAAAAGCTTATCCTCTACCAGGAATTAGGGGGAGGAAAGCATCTTGGAAAAGAATATCCCTCAGTCTTCACGTTTCATCGTCACGAAAACACAGTTGTAGACCCATAGACCCTCAGGGAACTTTGTATCTATGAAACTCAGTATTTACAGAAAAATCCTAAAATGGCCTTCAAACCTGAATAGCATACCTTTATGAAATCACAGAGGTTCTGACACAACCTAGAGAACAAACAACTTGTAGGCTAAGAAGTAGGTTTCTGATCCATAGCACATTTTAGAGTATTCTGAATAGTAATGTTGCATTCCAAGGGTATGATTTACAATCCTCCCTAAATCTGGTCTCCAGAGCTGACTTAGGCTAATTTCTAGATCCTACTGCATCTACTTAGATCTTGTTCCCCATATATTTTGAATGCTAAATGCAAAACATGTACACTATTGGTGGCTATATTTTAGGTGAGGAATACAATTCTTCCCCATAGTGGCAATACAGCATCCTCTCAGTTATAAATATCTTCACTTCAATGAGAAAAGATGATGAAATTCTTTTTGAAGACTCTCAAAGGGCTTGCAGATTTTTAAAAATATTACTGCCACTTTGTTTGGAAGAAATACAGTTTGGTCCTAAAACCATCATTTGTGATTGGATTTATGAACACAACATGCATTTGCATGCTGTGCATGAAAACCCTGCACCAAAGAGTGGTTTCAAACAAGGAAACTGTTGCTAGTTGGAATGTTCTCACCTGTATTATCATTAACAAATTTCAAGTTCCCTCAACCTGTTGAAAATAAAGGTAATTCAAATGAATTACCTTTGCATGAACAGTCTATCAACTTCAAAATTCCTCATAACTTCATTGAGTTTTTTCCAATTAGAAAGGGAAATTCCTTTTATATATACTCCGAAGTGCTTTTTCTTTTAAAGTCAGATTGGGGAAAAGCATCTTTCTTTTTATGTATTCTATTTGTGTCTTGCTAAGCACTTAAGGTCTATCTGTAAGTAGCTTAGAACATTTTCTTATCATCGAGCACAGTACTTAAGAGTATGTTTTTTTAAAAAAAAGAGTTGCCTACTAAATCTAATGTATTTATTCAGCAATCCTGATTAAGCACCAGAAAGCTATTACTAGATTTTTTAAAAAGTAAATAAGTAACTTACATTAAAGAAGCTTACATTTGAGGAATCACCACACTATTTTCCACAATGGTTGAACTAATATACATTCCCACCAACAGTGTAAAAGTGTTCCTTTTTTCTCCACAGCCTCACCAGCATCTGTTATTTTTTGACTTTTTAATAATAGTCATTCTGATTGGTGTGAGATGGTGCCTCACTTTGGTTTTGATTTGCATTTCTCTATCCATCAGTGACATTGAGCTTTTCTTCACATGATTGTTGGCTGCGTGTAGGTCTTTTGAAAAATGTCTGTTCATGTCCTTTGCCCACGTTTTAATGGGTTTGTTTTTTTCTTGTAAATTTGTTTAAGTTCCTTAGAGGTGCTAGATATTAGACCTTTGTCAAATGTGTAGTTTGCAAAAGTTTACTCCCATTCTGTAGGTTGTCTGTTTACTCCATTGATAGTTTCTTTTGCTGTGCAGAAGCTCTTTAATGTTTCTATACTATAAAGTAGAAGGAAATAAGGGTTCAGTAAAGGTACATGTAAGATCTTATGCTAAAAAATGGAAAGGGGTAATTAGGACCTGGGGGATCTGGTAAAGCTTCTTGAGAAGTTGTCATTTGTGTTTGGTTTGAACAATTGGTAGACTTTTTATCATTGGAAAATGAGGGATTCTGAGGGAAGGGGAAGCCTCTGATTCAATAATTTGGAGACTTCTCTCAAATTCAGTGGCAAGCACAGACCAAAATTTTATGAAAGCAAATGCACTGAACTGATATTGGAGATGTAAAATGAATCCCAAGGTACACTTTCCAATAACAACAGTAAGGCAATCCTCAAAGAATTTGGCAACTGTCTAAATTATTTGAAGTGAAATAATTTCCACAGATGAGATCTATATTTTAAATATCCAATATTTCTACACTGAGAGTGTATAAATTAAGATTTATTTTATTCATTTTTACTGTGCTCCTTAAGAGAAACAAGAATTCCTCTATGAAGTAAAATGCAAAGTAGAATACATTTGGCAGAATCATCCCAAGCACATGTAAAACAACATCATCACACCAGCTGCTGATTTCGTCCTAGTGTTTTATCCTGTCAATAAGAAAATCCTTGATGTGCTACTGAATACACAGTTATCTTGACAGCCATCTTCATGTAATATTCAAGATAGCTTTTACACAGTCTCAGTTATAATATTAGCCTGAGATCTAATGCTTCCTCTTTATTTAAGGGATGATGAACTTGATTTGATGGTTTCTCTGCTGTGAGCCAGTTCAGACTCACAATTCTCCTGGGCAGATTTCACTATCTTTAACTGACCGTAAGTTTAAGATGTTCCTAGCCAAAACCCTATTCTTATCAATTACTGTTCTACACTACTAGTTTTACCCAGATTTAACTCAAGAGCTATTTTCATCAGCTTTCCATCATGTACTGGGCCTGACCTTTGAAATATTGTAGCTGCTGCATTGCCATCATCCAAGATAAGAAAGAACTGTCTTAAAAGCTCTATCTTGGTTCAAAAGAAAAGAAAAAGTATTCTATGACATTAACTATTTCAAAGCTCTTTTACTATTGCCAATCCACACAAGATTATTGGGATGTAGTTTCCCAGATTGAGATACGTGTTTGAGAAGGAAGGAAGAAAAAAAGAAAAGGGAGAAAGGAGAGGAAGGGAGGGAGGAAGGGAAAAAATTGGGCAAACACAAGCCCCTGAAATAAGGTCTGATGATTTCCCCCTTCCCTGGTTTTAAGAAGTATACAAGCTCTATATTCAAGAATTGAATAGTACACTTAATCTATAAGTAATTTCAGATGCTGAGTTCTAGATGCAGCATTATAAATAAGATGACAGGGACTTATATTACTGCTGAGAAAACTGGGTTTGATAAACTAAAGATGCCCATGTATATCAGTCATGCTCCTGGTGAGAACAGGTGGCTCACTGCATAATGAGAGGAATATTCAATTAACTATTTACAAAGCTATGGATGACATGTAGGGAAGCCACAGAGAGAGTACAGTATCTAGAGCTAGTAAGAGTAGAAGGCCATCACTGTCCCCAGGCCTAAAGGAGGTAGAGCAGTCAAAGGAAACAAGAGACAAGGGAGGCTGCGAGGACAGGGCCACCTGGCAGAGCCATAACCTTAAACTAGGTAGTCACTTCTTGGCAACTCTGCAGGTAGGGAGCCAACCTCACTTTTAACCCTCCCTCTGATGCCCAGCTGGTTTACCCCATTGGTGAAAATCAGTGGGTGAGGGAACCAGTGAGCAAGGAAGCTTACTGTTCTATTCCAAATAAGTCCTACCAGCAGCAGAGAGTAGGGATCAGGAAATAGAATGACGAATAGGTCTAAAAGGACTCACAGCAGAAATCCAGTACATCATATTAGTAATACGGATTAGGCCCAGTACTGTAAATCAAAAATTTGTGAAGAATAACAGGAAAAAACTCAAACTCCTTATTTCATCTATGAAAACTCTGACCCTAGAGTCTTAAAATGTAGACAATTTCAAAGATTTTGAGTAGAACATACATATCCCTAAAATTATATATGCATAAGCATATATAACATACATACTCCTAAACATACATACTTCTAAAATTATATATGCATAAGCATGCACGCACACACATATACACACAAAGAGAGATACAGCAAAGTGATCTAGTTATTACAGACTCAAAAAAAATTGGTGGGGAATTGGCAGACCAGTAACCTTGCTGGCTCCATATACAAAAGGTAGTATGCATGAGAATACTGTTAGGGGTTAGAAGAAAGTGAGAAGTTTTGGGAATTGAGACACAGGGAGAGGTAAGGTAATAAAGAATGGCACAATGGCTTTCTTTCAGGCTTCTTGGACTTATTGTGAGCTATCGTGCAGTTACTAATTTAAGCACACTTCACTCAAACATGAAGAGAAATCGAGCATCTGATATGATTTGGCTGTGTCCCCATCGAAATCTCATCTCAAATTGTAATCCCCATTTGTCAAAGGAGGAACCTGATGAGAGGTGATTGAACTATGGGGGCAGTTTCCCCCATGCTGTTCTCGTAACAGTGAGATTTCATGAGATTCAAGAACCCACTGATGGGCTCTTCCCCATTCACTCTCATTCTCTTTTTCCTGCCACCTTGTGAAGAAGGTATTTGGTTTTCCTTTGCATTCCACCATTATTATAGTTTTTCTGAGGCTTTCCCCACCATGTGGAACTGTGAGTCAATTAAACCTCTTTTCTTTATAAATTATCCAGTCTCACATATTCTTTATAGCAGTGGGAAAACAGATTAATACAAGAAATTGGCATCTTGAAGAGTGGGGCACTGCTATAAAGATAACCTGAAAACGTGGAAGTGACTTTGGAACTGGGTAATGAGGAGAGGTTGGAATAGTTTGGAGGGTTCGGAAGAAGACAGCAAAATGTGGGAAAGTTTGGAACTTCCTAGAGACTTGTTGAATGGTTTTGACCAAAATGCTGATAGTGATGTGGACAATGAAGTCCAGGTTGAGATGGTCTCAGATGGAGATGAGGAACTTCTTGAGAACTGGAGCAAAGGTGACTCTTGCCATGCTTTAGCAAAGAGACTGGTGGCATTTTGCCCCTGCCCTAGAGAAGTGTGGAACTTTGAACTTCAGAGAGCTGATTTAGGGTATCTGGCAGAAGAAATTTCTAAGTAGCAAAGCATTCAAGAGGTGATAGAGCATAAAAGTTTGGAAATTTTGCAGCCTGACCACGTGGTAGAAAAGAAAAACCCATTTTTCGGGGAGAAACTGAAGCCAGCTGCAGAAATTTGCATAAGTAACATCGAATGTTAATCACCAAGACAATGGGGAAAATGTCTCCAGGGCATATTAGAGAACTTCGTGGCAGCCCCTCCCATCACAGGACCAGAAGCCTAAGAGGGAAAAATTGTTCTGTGGGCTGGGCCCAGGGACCTGATGCTCTGTGCACCCTTGGGATATGGCGCCCTGCATCCCAGCTGCTTCAGCTTCAGCTGTGGCTAAAAGGAACCAACATACATCTCAAGCCATTGCTTCAGAGGCTGCAAGCTCCAAGTCTTGGTGGCTTCCATGTGGTGTTGGGCCTGTGGGTGCACAGAAGACAAGAGTTGAGCTTTGGGAACCTTGGCCTAGGCTTCAGAGGAGGTATGGAAACACGTGGATGTCTGGGCAGAAGTCTGCTGCAGGGGTTGAGCCCTCATGAAAAAAATCTCTGCTAGGTCAGTATGGAAGGGAAATGTAGGGTTGGAGACCCCACACAGAGTCTGCACTGGGGCACTGCCTAGTGGAGCTGTGAGAAGAGGGCCACTGTCCTCCAGACCCCAGTATGGTAGATCCACCAACAGCCTGCATGTGCACCTGGAAAAGTCACAGTCACTCAACACCAGCCCATGAAAACAGCTGGGGGGTGCTGTACCCTGCAAAGCCACAGGGGCAGAGCTGCCCAAGGTCATGGGAACCCACCTCTTGCATCAGTGTGCCCTGGATGTGAGACATAGAGCCAAAGGAGATTAGTTTGGAGCTTTTGATTTAATGACTGGCCCACTGGATTTCAGACTTGCACAGGGCCTGTGGCCCGTTTGTTTTGGCCAATTTCTCCAATTTGAAATTAGAGAATTTATCCAATGCCTGTACCCCATTGTATCGTGGAAGTAACTAACTTGTCATTTTCACATGTCAAGGGAGGGACCTGGTGGGACGTGATTGGATCATGGGGGCAGTTTCCCCCATGCTCTTCTCATGATAGTGAGTGAGTGATTTCTCATGAGATCTGATGGTTTTATAAGGGACTCTTCCTTCTTCACTCTCTCTCTTTTTTCCTGCCACCTTTTGAAGAAGGTGCTTGTTTCTCCTTTGCCTTCTGCCATAATTGTAAGTTTCCTGAGGCCTCTTCAGCCATGCTGAAGTGTGAGTCAATTAAACCTCTTTCCTTTATAAATTACCCAGTCTCCGGTATTTCTTTATAGCAATGTGAAAATGGACTAATACAGTAGCTTTATATTTTCTATAACTATCTGATCTCACTCATAAAGTTCCAACATGTTAGGTAGCAGAAGAAGGAGAAAGAGCCTACATTAGGTATACAATTCTCGTAGCCCATTTGTGTTGTTATAATAGAATACCACAGACTGAGTAATTTATAAATAACAGTGTTTCAGTTAGCTTACAGTTTTAGGGACTGGTAAATCAATAAGCATGGTGCTGGCATCTGGTGAGGGCCTTCTTGCTGCATCATAACTTGGCAAAGGGCTTCACATGGTGAGGGTAACTGTGCTGTTTAGGTCTCTCTTCCTCTTCTTATAAAGCTACCAGCCCCATTATAGGGGTCTCACCCGATAACCTTATCTTATTATAATTACCTCCCAAAAGCCCCACCTCCAAATACCATCAACATATAAATTGGGATATTGCATTTCCAACACATCAAATTTAGGAGACACATTCAAACCACAGCAATAATCCACTAATTTCTGTCAATCTGTCAATTTGAATTTTTAAAGGTAACTTAGCCTTTTTTAACATAAATATCCAACCATTCTGATTTCTTCTACCACATCCTGCTTTACTCCAAGATGGCAACTGAGGGTAAGCAAAAGTAGAGCCTAAGGGGCCTCTAACGGGAGGAGAAAGGAGGAATCCACATCCACGTCTTTTCACTTGTTCTCCAGCAGTACATCTCAGATGCCTGGTAGCTGGCCCCACTAGCACCTATGCTCAGTTCTCTCACCATTCAGTCAGAGACTGGAGTTGTCCCTGCCAATTACGCCCCAGCTCATGAGCACCTGTGGATGCCAAGAAGCCCTGAGAAGCGGCTGTGGTTCCCCCTTGGTTCTAGTCCCAAGAGGTCTGCCCCACAGCCCTCAGCCACAGGGCCACTCGTCTCCACTACTCTGATTTCCTCTGGTGAGTTTCCCATTCAGATTTCATTATCCATCCCTCTTCAATGTCCTACCCTCTCCATTTGGGTAAAAGGAACAGCTCAAGAAAGCCAAACTCAAACATTCCTCATCCTTGCACGCTGTACCTTTCCTCTAAGGTATCATCCAGGAACACCTCTGGATAAATGCAATTCCCCCAGTCACAAAGGCTGGATTTGGGTCCAGAAGGAGATTAGGATGTATTCATACACTGCCTCTTCTGCCTTGCTCTCCGCTTATTCTTTCCGCAATCACCAAGACTGGCGAGGACAGCTTTTCTCTAAACAGTAGCCTGCAATCTCCCCATGGAATAAGTTACTCAAGCTGCAGGACAGAAGTTCTCAACATGGGGCCTGTAAGCCTTTTTCAGGAGGTCTGCAAGATCAAAACCATTCTCATATACTAAAATGTTACTTTCCTTTTCACTCTCATTCTTTTACACTCATACGGTGCCATTTTCCAGAAGCTACATGATGTGTGGTATCTTAAAACACTGAACACAGAAGACATGAGAATCCAGGTGCTTTCTATTAAGCCAGACATTTGCAAAATATTAAGCAGTGCCACTCTTCTAATTTTTTTCTAGTTTCGGAAAATATAGTTTTTTAAAAGAAAAATATTTATGGTAACATGTAATGAGTTTATTATTGATTTTTATTGCTATCACTGATATTTTAAAGTCAATGTATAGTCAAGCACCACATAACATTTTAGTGAATGACGGACAGTGTATACAACAGTAGTCATATAAGATTATAATAAAGCCGAAAAATTTCCTATTGCCTAGTGAAATTGTAGCCATCACATTGCAGCACAATGCATCACTCAGGTGTTTATGGTGAAGCTGGTGCAAAAAAACCTACTGTGCTGCCAGTTGTATGAGAGTCCAACATATACAATTATGTACAGTATGGAATACTAATAGTGATCACAAATGACTAGGTTACCAGTTTATGTATTTACTATACTGTACTTTTTTTTATTATTTCAGGGTATACTCTTTCTACTTACAAAAAGAAAAAAAAAAAGCTGTGAAACAGCCCCTCAGGCAGGTCCTTTAGTAGGTATTCCAGAAGAAGGCCTTGTTACGGGAGATGACAGCTCCATGTATGTTATTGCCCCTGAAGACCATCTAGTGGCACAAGATGTGGAAGTGGAAGACGGTGATATTGATGATCCTCACCCGGTGCAGGCCTAGGCTAATGTGTGTGTTTGTGTCTTTGTTTTTAACAAAAAAAAAGTTTACAAAGAAAAACAAACAATTGTAAAAGTAGAAAAAAACTTACAGAATAAGGTTATAAAGAAAATATATTCTTACATCTGTACAATGTGTTAAGCTAAGTGTTATTGCAAAAAAGTTAAAAAGTTTTAAAATAATTTAAAAGTGTACAAAGTAAAGCATTTACAGTGAGCTAAGGTTATTTTATTATTGAAGAAAGAAAAGTTTTTAAGTAAATTTAGTGTAGCCTAAGTGTACAGTGTTTATAATGTCTACAGTAGTGGACAGTAATGTTCTAAGTCTTCACATTCACTCACCACTCACCCACTGACTCCCAGAGCAACTTCCAGTCCCACAAGCTCCATTCCTGCTAAGTGTCCTACACAAATGTGCCCTTTTTAAAAATCTTTCTTACCATATTTTTACTGTATCTGCTCTATGTTTAGATGTATTCAGATACACAATTAATTACCATTGTGTTACAATTGCCTACAGTATTCAGTAGAGTAACATGTTGTACAAGTTTGTAGCCAAGGAGCAACGGCTAGACCATATAACCTAGATAGGTAATAGGTTAGACCGTCTAGGTTTGAGTAAGTCCCTTTGTGATATTCCCGCAATGATGAAATCACCTAATGACACATTTCTTAGAATGTAGCCCCATCATTAAGTGACACATGACTGTATATTTAATTATTTTATAACTTCTCAGTTTAAAGTTCTATTAAGTAAATATCAATAACTCACATAAATCAAAAGCTTTTACGGTCTTCCATAATTTTTTAAGAGTTAAAAAGCATCTTGAGACCAAAAATTTGAGAACTTCTGTTCCAGTCTCCAGGCCCACTACTTAACATATTTTTTTTAAAAAAGCGTTATTTAGAGACCTCCCTACAAAGCCACAGCCTCACTAAAGAGCTCAAAAAATGAATGCTGACTAAATTCTTCTGTTCCGGGCAGCATCAGGGTTCTCCCTCTCTCGGTTTATACTTGAAGGTAAAATGTTCAAATCCTGACGGTAATATGACTCAAAGAGGGGAATTTTTAAAGTTCCAGTTCAGTATCTGCAAGATACTCTCCTATGTGAGAGGTCTAAGGAGACAATAAACCAAGTGTGAGATTCCGGGCTCAGGTGGGGCCCCTTCAGGGACCCAAGAAACCAAGCCTAACTGAGCATTTGGGGGTTGCGAGGGCAGACATTCTTGTCCACATCAATGCCCCATGTCTTTGAGGGCTCCAGGTGGCACACATGCGGACAGTACATCAGTCTCCCGAGGGCTTCTGGTGTGGGGACTAGTGAGGACTCTTGATGAAGAAGTTCACATAGGAGATGGTGAACGAAACTTATCCTAACACATGAAGCTACTAGAAGAAATGTAAAAGCATGGAAACTGACATCCTGGGCAAACAGATGGGGGCCAGGCACTGTCAAAAGCCCACTATTAATCTTGATGAAACAACACTTTTACCTGTGGGCTGCTGAGGCCTGAGACATGCATACGAATTATATGCCTATGATCAAGTACTGGTGCACCATAAGTTGTTATAGAAATATAATACAATCTATATATTACAGTTGATCAGCCAGCCAAAGAATTTAAGGATAAATTATTCTTGTAAACATAGAATAATTTTTATTTCAAAAATGTTAAAGTAAAAATTATAACAATCAGAATTTATATTTTTTGAAGCTGGATATTGTTCTAAATCCTTACTTAGAGTGAATCCTTATCTAATTGTCTGATAAACTCTGAAATATAGATATTATCATTATCATCCTCATTTTAGACTTGAGGAAACTCAGGAAAGAGGTTTGCCCAAGGCCACACATTAGGAAGTATTAATAAAATATGATTTTTAAATTTTTTCTCCCCAAATCTACCTTCACAGCAAAAATCAGTCACCCTGTAATGATACACATTTACATAAAGCTTCAGTATATTTGTAATATAAAAGCTCCATTTCTCAACTCTTCATCACAGCCCACCCGCCTTGCTCACAGATACCCATCTCAAATGGTCCTGAGAAAAGCAATCTGGTTCAATTTGCTAAGGGGGCAAAAATTCCCAATAAGGTTTAGTGATTGCCACAGTTGGAATGTTCTGAAATCAGGGCCATGTTCCTGTCATGGCAAATTAGGTCAGCATGGTAAGACATGGAACCATGCATAGGATGACGGAATGTAAAAGTACATTATTAGCTGATGTCCTCTCTGTTTTATTTTTCCCCGGTGACATTTAACAAATTGAATGTAAATGTTCAGAAACACACAATGTTCTGTTAGATGGTTTAAAAGACGTACGTGGAGGAAAGAGTAGCACGTGAACTGGCAGGCAATATCATGACATTGACTATTGTGTACATTTCAGAAAATGTTATTTTTCCAAGAGTGTCTTTTAGAAGTTATCCTTTAAGTTGTCCAGTACTTTTTTGCTCAAGCTGTTGTTTTTAAGTACGGCAGAAGTAATTCTGTAAACCTCTAGGTGGTATTATAGAAACATGGATGTTTAAAATATACAACCTTATAATTGGACATGGTGATATTATTCAAAATTAATAAAAGTGTGAATATTTTAAACTACCCTATTGAATACCAGAAAATGATTAACTTTTAATTTTTTAATTTTTTAAAGTTTTTCTTTTTTTTCCCCATAGTCTCAGATGCTAGATTTCTTCAATAGACATCAAGTCAAAGTAAAAAAAATATTGGTCGTCACCTACTATTTTAAGTCTTATATATTTCAGACAATAAGTAAGACAAAATGGCAGGATAGTTTGGTGGCTACTGATGTGGGCTCTGTAACCAGATTTTTTGGTTAGAATCTTGACTCTACTACTTACTGGCTGTGTGACATTGGGTGAGTTACTTAACTTCTCTGTCCCTCTATTCCCCTGTAGTGTGAAATAAGTTTAATAATACCTCACCAGAATTTTTATGAGGAATAAATGAGTTAAACATATAGAAAGTACTTAGATAACTGCTCAGTACGTAGTAGGTACTCAATATAAGTTAGCTATTAGTATCATCTTATAAATGCTTGACTTTTACTGCCATTTTAATCTAAATGTTTTGCAGATAAAACCCAAATGAACCACAACTTCCATCACCAGTGTTAAAGCAAATCAAAACTCAGAGATATATTTAAAAGAACTACAAATCTAAATTCAAAGAGCCTGAAAAAAACTTAGATTTTACTGATGTTTTATTGCAGATACAGAAGTATTCACAGAAAAAATTCTAGCACACGTGCTTTCTGAAATAACGTTTGTGTTTGCCACATACATTTTTAAAAGATCTCTGTGGCTATTGTATACATAAGGATATCATGAAGGAAGCATTTAAGAGTTGCTGCAGTTGTTCAAAGACGAGATGAGGTTGGAATGGACAATAATCATGGAAACAGAGATGTACAAAAGCAGAGATTCTTTACTAAATATTTAATAAATGTAATGTGGAGCTGCTTCCCCACAGATACAAATATGTAGCTATAGAAAAGAACAAGTCTGGGTGAAGATGTGGAGAAATTGGAACCCTCACACAAAGCTAGTGAGATTATAAAATGCAGCCATTTTGGAAAACAGTTTGGCAGGTCCTCAAAAAATTAAACACAGAGTTTGCATATGACCAGAGATTCTATTAATACTCTCAGGTGCATACCCAAAAGAATTAAAAACATATGTCTACATAAAAAAACTTGTACACAAATGTTCATAGCATCATTAATTACATTAGCCAAAAATTGGAAAGAACTCAAATGTCCATCAAATGATGAATGGAAAAATAAAGTGCAGTATATGCATGTCATGAAATAATACGCAGCCATGAAAAAGAATGAAAAAAATTTTGTGAGACAGGGCCTCACTCTGTTGCCCAGGCTGGAGTGTAGTGGAGTAATCATGGCTCACTGAAGCCTCAACCTCCCAGGCTCAGGTGATCCTCTCACCTCAGCCTGCCTAGTAGCTGGGACCACAGACATGCACCACCATGCTCAGCTAATTTTTTGTATTTTTTACAGAGACAGAGTTTTGCATGTTGCCTAGGCTGGTCTTGAACTCCTGGGCTCAAGTGACCTGCCTGCCTCAGCCTCTCAAAGTGCTGAGATTACAGGCATGAGCCACCTGTAAGCCCTGCCAGGAATAAAATATTGATAAATGCTACAACATGGATGAACCTTACAAATATTATGTTAAATTTTTTTAAAAACAGTCAGATACAACAAGCCACATATTTGATGACTCCATTTGTAAGAAATATCCTTAGTAGGTAAATCCAAAGAGACAGAGAGTACATTTGTGGTTGCCAGGACGTGGGAGAAGGAAGAATGGAGAGTAACTGCTAATGGGTACAGGGTTTCTCTTTGGGATGTTGAAAATGGTCTGAAATTAGATAGTGGTGATAATAGTATAACTCAGTGAACACACTAAAAAATTTGAATTGTACACTTATAGAAGTAAATTGTACAGTATTTCCCTATATTCCATTGAAGTTGTTACTAAAAAGTACAGAAGAATTCACTTATATTAAAAAGATATCTGAAGAGCTACTTATTTACCTCTTCAAAAATGGATGATTTTTAGAAAAATACTGAGGGTCCTCTTATGAAATTTTGCTTGAGGATAAGGAATTTAAACTTCTGGCAATGTAGACTAACAATATTGGTTATCTTCTGGCAGATGCAGCCTGTAGATAACAGTTATTACTTAGTGATGTGTTACAAACAATGAAATAATTCTGAGCTCAACCATAGAAAGGAAGAGTAATTAAAAGTTAACCAATATCGCCAAAAAATAAGAAATGTTTTTCATAGTACTTAAAGCAGAAGTGGACTAGGCTTAAAAATAAAAGACATTTTTATACAATTAGAATGATCACCAAGGAACAACTGGCACAATGTCTGGTGGAGTGAAAGAGGACTGATTTTCTAAGCTTTCCATGTCATCTTTTTAAAAAGCCAATTGGATACGCTTAACACTCACCAAGTTGTTTTGTGGTCGCTGAAACTTGTATACCCTTGAGCTTTATACGAGAGGAAGATGCACCCAAATACTCGGAAGTTGAAAACCAAGAAGATTTTCAGCTTTACAAATTGCAGCATTATGACATATTCTAAAATTTATTATGCGCTGTAGGTATTTTACTAAATACTTTTCTTAATGCATTTATTGCAGCTTAATAACTTTAGGTATATTGCTATAGAAGGAGGCTCGAATATTCTTGCCTTTTTTCATTGTAAAGTCCATAAACACCCATAAATGCACCAAAGCTCTTGAAATTATACATACGGATTATTAGAGACGAAGAATGATACAGGATCAGATCATTGTTTCAGTTTTATGTCTATCACTTTTAGTCTCTTTCTCATTCCATTGTGAACCAAAGAACTCTCTACAACAGCTCTGAACATTATCAGGATGTTCTTTCCCATCCAAACTGTGAAGGAGGAGATAGGGAAATAACAGAGAAAAAAAAGTACACTCTGCCACAGATTCTGTTTTAGGATTATAAAAATTTTTCAGTTAAGTGTACCAGGTTATCAAGGTGGTAATTTCATACTTGCTCTGAAACATTGAAAATATTGATAAACTTAAAATATAGATGTTTGGCTGAAAGAATGAGCTGGAATCAGTCCCAAATACTTTTTGGCAGAAATAATAGGAACCTGCTTCTTCAAATCTTGTAATGATGCCAAATGTTCTCTCTTTCATCAACTTTTTATTTAAAATGTCCACCTTCCAAGTGTAAAATAATAGTAATTAATTAAAGGTAGTACAACAAATGCTGTATATTTTTTCTAAAATTTCCATGCCAAGTCGACTCAACCTTTATGCTGTAAAAACATATTTATATTTTCTGTAATTAGTTAAATGAATGTATGCTAAGCCAATCATTCTCCTTAGGCCTAAAGTAGGTTTGGGTTTTTTTTCCTCTTAAATGAAGAATGCTTTTCTTTTTCTTCTCTTGTTTTCTTTTTCAGATGCACCTGTTAACATTTTTACCACCATATGTCAGGCCCAGTTTTATGTCCAAACAATCTTCTAGGCATTTTTGAACATCTGCTATCATATTTGGTATCCTAATAAAAGAATTATAAGGGACCCATGGGTGTCAAGGTCACAATTTTGTGGCTTCAAAAATAGGAAATAGGACACAAGTGATCCTGACAAGTAAATTGTCCAAATGCAGCTACCTTGGAGATACGGTGCCCAGTGGAAATAGCACTGTGTTTGTATTTAGAAAAACCTGGAGTCAAATCCTAACCACCATGCCCTATCCCCACCCCCATCTCCCTGGTTCTTTTCCCAGTTGTAAAAAGATGTAAACACTACATTTTTGTTTGTTTGGTATTTGTTAGCTCTACTTCCTCTCTATCTGATGGCACCTTCATATTGCACGACATTATATACCATGCGCATTTTTTTCTGTTATATTCTAAGCTTTGATAGCAATTGTATTAATGACATAGCTCTATAAAAATTTTAAAGGTTATTATGTAAAGAAATCACTATGGACGAGGAGAGAGCTTTCTGATAAGCTCCAATTTTAAAGAAACGTATTCAACAAAGAAGGTAAAGTCCAGAGAGATGGCTGTCAAAGACTAACAAAAGGACTTAAAAAAGCATTCATAGGTTCAAGAAGGTCTAGGAGGAATAAGCCCACTGCTTAAGACCCTTGGAAACTTAAACTCTTCAATTTTGCTTCTGTCATTGTGAAGAGAAGGATATCAACACTAAAAACAATTGCTTCTGATGTTAGAGTTCTGTGATTCTATGATTCGTACTCTGTCATTGGTTCCAACACAGTGCCTGCCACATAGCAAACACTCATTGGAATGTAGAATGAATCAATGACCAGGATTAATATTTTCAGAACTGCATGGCTTTAAAAACATACAAATTTGGGGAAATATAAGTTACATTAAGGAGGTATCAAATACAATTAAAGCTTAGAAAACCAAAGAGGCCTTAGAACAATTATCTCAGAGAAATGACACATCCAAAGAGGAAAGGAAAAATTCTAATTGATAGGACAAATATGATTTTAACATCAGAAGATTCTTTCAAAGAGATCATATATCCACATGTGTAATTTTAAGAAAGGTAGGCACAGATAAAATCAAAATAACCCCATCTACCTCTAATTATACCAGAAATATCTCAGTTCCTAAATCTGATTTCTTATGGTCTTATGGTTATAGTTACATTTTGCTTTATACTCTTCTCCCCATGAGATGCAAGAAATTATATCTATAATTGCATTGTATTGTTGGTATTTACTGCATCAAGTCTTCAATTTACTGAGTAAACTAGCAAATTAAATGCTAAGCTTCTTTTTTCCAAATAAATATTATTCCATTTACTCCAAATATATCAAATATGCATTCCCACAGGGAAAAAAAAAATAGAAAAAAGTTCCCAGAAAGCTGAGTGGAAATTTGTGATGAGGGAGAAGTTAAAGACTAGCTTCTCCCCATGACAAAAACCTTGTCCTAAGCCATTAGAAACTTGTAGAACCAGCAGTTCACTCTTCAAGGTCAACCAAGCATTCTTAATGCTGTTTTGCATTTCTTTTGGCAACAGGCCACTGCATTTTAACATTTGACATACTCCTTGCCTTTTGCCTAGCCCTGTAAGTAACAGGACGTTTTTCTGTGCCTGGAAATCAATTCTGTTCTCCTCCCATTCTATGACTCAGATAATGAGATACTAGGAGTCAGTCAACAATCTCACACTTCCACCCTTCACACTGCAACCTGAAAACTGAAACTACAACTGTAACCACAACTAAAGTTGTACTGCAACCTGAAAGCTGTAACTTCCATGTTAATATAAAACAATTCCTATTTTTAAAGTCTATAAATTAACATTTTTTGCTTTATTTGAAATGAAAAAAATTAAATTTTATTTATTTTAGAGAAGAATGAATTAAAATACAAATAGTATAAGAAGAACAAATTAAAATGAAAAATCAACCAAGTTTTAGCAGGTTGATATATATTCAGCATTGTGGAAAACTCTCTGAAGATATTTCTGTCTTAATGTTTAGTATTTTAGGAGCTCTTCCTCTGTGTAAGGTATGGTAATTGGTGTCATGAGGAAGATAGAAGAAATGTCTCTGCCACATGAAATATATAATCTAATTGAAGAAACAAAACCATTGAAAGGTTTTTAAGTTGCACGGCACAACAGAATTATATTCTCGGAAGTAGAGGACTTGTTAAATGAATGGGACAGGCAAAAAATACTAATTCAGAGTTATAATTAAGAGCACACAGCATCACTTGGGCTGGACTGAATTTGGAAGGCTTCACAAAGAAAGGACTTGCACTGTGACTTGAATGATGGATGGGATTTATGGAGGCAGAGAGAAAGGAGTGCATTTCAGGCCAGCAAAATTGGTTTAAGCAAAAGCATAAAATTAGAAAAGTTCAAGGCAGGTTAGGGCAGAGTTTAGCTGGAGTACAAAGCCAGGGAAGTGAATAGTTAGAGCTGTCTGCAAAGGTTGCAGTGATGGTCAAGGTCTTACACTGTCAGAATAAGCCATTTGGACTTCTGGTAGGCTGTGGGGAGTCACTGAAGTCTTCAAGTAGGAGAATGACAAGATTGAAGGAGTGCTTTATGACCAACTTGTCAGCAATATGAATGATGAATTGGCAAAAAAAGAGACTACAAGTAGGATGAATAATTAAAATTAAAAAGCTTCTATAATAGGAGAAATGGGGAAGATGATAAGAAGCTCAGCAAGAAAGTTGGTACCAGTAGAAGGGAGGATCAGGGAAAGAAATGGAATCAGGAAACATTTGTGTGATGGTGGATTTTGTTTTTGGCATTCTTGAAGAGTTTATTTGGGCAGACCCAGGGTGAGGAGGGCCCTGCACCTAGAAGAAGGTGTTGGATCTCTTGGTGGTGGAGTGGGACCAGCTTGTGCTGGCGATGTGGGACCCAGTAGGACAGTGGGAACTTAATCTTGGATTTATGGAACTGCTTGGTGGGTAGCCAATGGCACTTGCTAGCCAAGATCTCTTCCACCTTCATGATCTGAATCTAGGGGACCCAGGTACAGTGTCGGGCACCCATTTCTTGGTCTGTAGAATGGGGAGGGGACAAGATTACAGCATTCATTAGGTTCTGGGCATTTGGCAAACCTATCAAGTGCCTGCCCAATGACCTGGCACATCCTGTCAGGCACAGCAATTGCCTGAGGACCCCAACTTGGGGCTGACTTGGGGACTAAGTGGCTGCAGCTGCTGGTCCCAGCAGGAACTTGCCACGAGGGGTATAAAACCTCCAAATTCACTTTAAGGGGCATGACCACAGCTCTCTAAAGGTGATGAGATCCTTCAATAGACATTGTGAAGAAATAATTGACAAACAATGGTGACTGGTAAGATCTAGGAGGCAAAGAACAACCATGACATCAAACTTTAGAACTGGAATGACTAAGACAGCGTCTTACATTTGTGTAGCACACTAAAATTAATCTGCAAAACATGTTCATCCTGGAAATAAAGAAATGGAACCTCTGATAGTAAACATTATCCCCTTGGAGGATGGTACAAAATGTTCTTTCGACTACCTAGTAGACAATTTAAAGGTGCTGCTAGGTTCATGTTCTCCTGCTCAGCTATGGAACATGGCTCTTTATAGTTCCTCATACTTATACTGAATCGTCCATTCCTCCTTTGATCAAGCATGGATTGAACTGAGCTGGGTGATGAAGACTGCATGAGGCTCATTCTGGACCATGCAAACCCAGAAATCTGGAATTGAAATCTAGAAGAGTGTCAGCTGCAGGTCCTGGAAGACTCAGGGCTTAGAGAGACATTTGTGGGACTCTATGAAGAGGCTATGTAAATATAATAGACTAAAGAGGGTGTAAGAGGAAGAGGAAAGGAGGGAAGAAAGGAGGAGGAGGAGGAGGAGGAGGAAGTGGAGGAGAAGAAACTGGCAGATATGCAGAGAAAAGCAATGACAAGACACCACTTAAAACTACAGAGGAGGGAGTATCTGCCTTCGTCCGGCTTACTTGACCAGTTCCCTGCTTCCTAGTGAGATCCAGCAGCTCTTCCTGCCTATAGTTCATACCAATACTCTATATCCTTCCTCACATGTCTCCTTTTGCTTAACCTAGTTTAAACTGGTATCTGTGTCTTGCAACAAAATTATCCCTGGCAAAGAAAATTCATCCTACTATCTCAAGGTGTCATGAACCGAAAGAGAACAGCCAATGAGAGAAGCTGACTTTAAGAGTAGATAACCAGGGAGAAGGGGTACAGTTTCAAACATATTTATGCATCTAAGTGTGTCATTGGAATTACAGGAGTGAAGCTAGGGCAGCAGTTGCAAACGTTGATTTAGCTGTCAGTAAGTAAAGATGATGGTAGAAATTCTCTTACCAGTGAGCATGGAGTAACAGAAGACAGAGACAGTTGCCAGGAAGGGGAAGAAAATGTGGTAGAAGTGGTCCAAGAGTTTACCAGATTTCCAGGAAAGATCCTTTAAAATGAGATGCAAAAAGGAGAAAAGCCATGCTTACCCTGAGGCATTTTCTTTACCAAAGGAACAAAAAACACATCTCTTTTGAAATAAAAGGGCTTATAAAACAAATTTTATGAAAATGAATAGCTTCTTTTAATGAGGGCAAAAGTAAGTAAATGTGGGTTAAATTTCAGCTGTTAAAAGTTAAAGCTTAAAATTTTATTTTGACCATAATCTTTCTATGTCAATTTCTGGAAACATCATCACATCTGCAATGGACCAATCTCTTCTCTCACGGAAGCTGAAGTTCATCTTTTTCCATGAACCCTTCCCAGGCAGTAACAGTAAAGTAGTGCAGTCTATGGTCTTAAACACGAAGAACATTTCAAGACTACCCCAAATAAACACATATATATGTTTGAGATGGGGCGTTACTATGTTGCCCAAACTAGTCTAGAACTCTGGGCTCTAGCAATCCTCCTACTTCAGCCCCCTGAGTAACTGGGATTACCAAATAGACATGTTTTTAATTGAATACTAATGTCTTAATTATACTTTCATGCACTATTTTTAAGTCTTATAATATGACAGTTAGGAACAGGTTTGACATGTCATTTGACAGGAATGTTACTGCATCAACAATATTCAGCATGTGCCTGCTATGTGGAGTGGGGCAAGAAAAAAATTAATCAGTTCTAAGAACCTTGAAGCAGGGCTGTTTGATACTCAAGCTTCCAAATTTAGCACCATGCTGGAAGTGCATTTGTAGTTTTGATCCTTAAATAACAGTGCAAGAAACTCTCTAAAACTATTATTACACTTTACCTAAAGTCCTGGATCTATCTTTGAAAAATAATTTGTTTTCAGCAAGTCTCTAAGAATTGTGTGGAATTCAACTAAATCATGTAATTCTGGTCTGCTACATGTACATTAGGGGAAATGTGTCCTCTTTTAAATACAAATATATTGAACTTGAGCTCAGGGACAGAACAGAAATTTTGTAAATAATATCAGTGTAGTTCTTTTATTTCAGAGGTTAAAAAAGAAGCTGTTTAAACCATAAAATAATCAAAGAGTTAATCTTGTTTTATTATTATAGGAGCAAAACCCACTGGCAACCTTTAACTATGTTAATTTTCAAACTTTCAAGTCCTTACTCAAACCACAAAGCCAGCAAACTAAAGGTAGCCAAAGGGGCTGTTTGGTAAAGACAGAAATGAACTATGCCTTTTGAAGTGTTTCCAGGGAAATGTGTTTGGAATATTTAAGTCCCAAGTGAGTTACAAAGGTTATTCATTCACAAGTGAGATAAATTCATAGCTGTCAAATTGTCTGGATTCTCTGTGTGATCACCAGGGCTTCAAATCATTTATTTTTTTCCAGCAAAAGTTCAATATTTTCACAGCTTCAAATTTGATCGTACTTTATAATTTGGAAATAAAGAATTGCTCTCTTCCTCACCTGCTCACTGAAGCAATAAAAGGCTATGAGTATATTAAAGCATTTTTTTCTCTTCCATTGTATTTTATTTCTATAGTATAAAGTCAAATGTTTCTAAATCGGATGTTTCTACTAGTGAAATAACTGGATGTAATTAACAAAGAGTCCAGTTTTACCAGACATATGGGGTGGGGAATTATTGCAAATATAAATTTTATGGTGTTTTCTATTTGACTGTACTTTCTGGAATAATTGAAAATAAAATAATAGTTCAAAAGCCTCCCTATGTAAGTTTTGCCTTTTTTTTTTCTCTTTTAAGAACTATCAGAGGTAGTTCAGAAAGAGGAAGAATTTTATTTTAATTGCTTGGTAACACTAAAATCAGGAGTTAAAAGGAGGGTAAGAATCCTCAAGAAAGACAACAAGGTCGATAAGATACCTCCTAACAAAATACTTCAGAGGAGACAGGAATGAGCTGTGGCTACTGGCCTGGTTAACTTTAGATTCTTTTCAGCTCCAAACGTACGTACGGGAGAGGAGACGGCTCCAGGGAACACTAACCAGGCCTGACCTCCTCTGCTCCCAGAGGAAAACAAGGAGCTCGGAGTGCTCTGAGGCAGAGTGATAAAGCCACATACTTATACATACGCCTGTTTGGCAAAGAAAGCCAAAGAAAGCAGCTTATAAAAACTGCTCTGTAAGTCCAGACATTGCTGACTGTAGTGAGAAGAGAGAATCATTACCACTCACAATGTCTTACTGATGACCTATTAAGTAGAAAGCAAAATAAGATGTGATCCTTCCCTTCAAGCAACATGTAATATCTTGGGGGAGGCCAAGCATATATTAAAAAAAAAAAAAAAGCTTAGTTATACTTTATAACAGCAAATATGAAGTAAAGGGGCATGCGCTGGAGTAACAATAATTGCTGGAGGAATTTGAAATGACCCTGAAGGAAGGAGAGCACTGAGCTAAGTGGAGAGGAGGGGAAGGAATTGTAGGCAAAGGAAAAGAAGCCATGAAGTTGTGCAGGTTGGGTTTGAGAAATTATGAATAGACCAGTTAGGTTGCAGCAGAGGACCCATGCAGAGACATAGTGTGATAGTGGGACAGAAGGTTGGGAAGTAGATAAATGCTAAATAAATGAGAAGTTAAAGGGTTTGGGGCATTGTGCAGAGCCCCTGAAAGCCTTTACTAGAAAGATATCATATGTGAAGTCGCATTTTTATTTAATTATTTATGTATTTATTTGAAAGAAGGTCTCACTCTGTCACCCAGGCTGGAATGCAGTGGTGCTATCATAGCTTACCGCAGCCTCAAACTCCCGGGCTCAAAGTGATCCTCCTGCCTCAGCCTCCGAGTAGCTGGGGCCACAGGCGCACACCACCAAGCCGAGATAATTTTTTTTATCTTTTGGTAGAGATGGACTCTCACTTTGTTACCCAGGATGGGATATTGTATTTTAGAAACTACTATTCTGGTATTAATCTATAGGATGGAGAGATAAGGAGACACGTTAGAAGGTTATAATAGACATGAAATGATAATGATTTGGAGTTGAAGTGTGCTAGGAGATGATGGAGGAGATGAATGGCTAAAACTTATCAAGTTTTTAGCCACGCTATTAATGTCAGACACGCTGCTAAGCATTGTAAGATACATGAATATGAAAGAAAGGACTTAAGACTAACAAAAGGTAACAGATAAGGTCAAGTCTAGGATCACTTTCTGAACAATGACATCTTCTGCACACAAGAGAAATATCTTCTTTGATGAATGATGGAATATTTATCCAAATAAATCCAGCATTCAATTAGAGGCTCAATTAAAAGTTCAAGTCATATTCAATCTTCTGTTTGATAATCAAGCAAAATTAGATGTGATCTGAGATATAACAGATATAAATAATCATATATATCTAGTATATATACAAGATTTTGTCCTGTAAAACAATTTACACAAGATTTTTAAAAGATCAAATATTGTTTTTTGATATATTTCCTAACACCGCCCAACTTTAGTTCAGGTGTCTCACACTTCACTAATATTTATGATCTTTCATTGTTTATAAATCAAATATTTTAATGACTTTAAAGAAGGTGGCTTTCAAGAGATCCAATTGTAAATCACTCTGTAAACTGAAAGGACTTTTTGTAATAGGGATTTACTTATATTCAGAAGTTAAAGTCTTACAATAAGGAAAGATCATCTGTCTGTACAGTCTCTTAAGTTCTTTGCTCAAAAAGCTGAGCGAATCTCAATCCAAACAAAAGTGAGAAAAAAAAAGAAGAATGAACCCACTGTGGGCAACTTGAGTCTGATAGATTTATTAGCTCAAGGTGAGTAGAAATAGTATCTTATCTGAAGGCAAGATCACATTTAAAGGGTTGCTTTTAATTTGTAGTTCAAGAATATTATAAAATATTTTTAAAACACAATTATTAACTTTAATTTTTTTCAGGAAATGGGAATGATTATCACTGGACCCAATTTTAAAATATAATTATGAAAAATCATACAATAATGCATATATGATCAAGAAATATCCAAACTAGGTATACTATAAGATACAGTGGACTTGAAGAGTAAAAGTGGGCAGTAAATAACTTATTACTAAAGGAATATGAATAATGGCATAAGTAGAATATATATCTTTTTTTTTTTTTTTTGAGATGGAGTTTCACTCTTGTTGCCCAGGCTGGAGTGCAATGGTGCGATCTTGGCTCATTGCAACCTCCACCTCCCAGGTTCAAACGATTCTCCTGCCTCAGCCTCCCAAGTAGCTGGGATTACAGGTGCATGCCACCACGTGGTTTTGTGGTTTCACAATGTTGGTCAGGTTGGTCTTGAACTCCTGACCTCAGGCGATCCGCCCACCTCGGCATCCCAAAATGCTGGGATTTACAGGCATGAGGCATGGCGTCAGCTCCATGTGATTTCTTTAACTTCTTAAACCTCAGTTCCTTCTCTTTAAACTACACAGATAAAATGCAACAACTTTTTTTGTTGTTGTTGTTAAAAAAAAAAGTAAAAAAATAAAGATAATGCATTTAAGCACTTAGCGCAGAATTGGGCCCACAATAAGAAATTAATAAATGAGTTATTATTATTATTATATAGAATTAGTTAATAAGTATCTGTAGTTTCCCATGAAATTACCTGTCAGGAGCAAATTAGCTCCTTCTTATTGAATTTTTACTTTTAACATACCCCGTCTGCTATCATAAAATAGTTTGAGGAAGCTTACAATTAAAGATATGTGTTCAATACTGTCGTAAAAATATAGATTTAAAAAATTTCACCTACAGTGTAGGAAATGGAAGTGGGTATGATTACTATATTTGAACCCTTTCTGTGTTTCCTGACTGCAAGAGAAGGAACTAAAAATATTAAGTTGTACAAGTCATATTTTTTAAGATAGTTATTCAGGAAGAACAATCAAAATGTAATATATTTGGATAGCACTTTCTAAAATGTTTCTCCCTACAATGTTTCATGTGTTTTTTCCAAAACTTCTGTGAGTCTGCTGACCAGCTATGACACCCAATTTTATATATGAGGAAATTAAGGCCCAGGAAGGTCACAGAGCTAAGAAGAAACAGAGCTAAGACTTGAATCCAAGTTTGGAGAAAATCATACACACGAAAATTAACATAGCTCTGAGCTCCCTGTAAGTAAAGACAAAAATGGGTGTGGGGTGAGGGCATGCCTCCTGTTATCTGATAAAATATCTAATAAAAGGAAGCCTGCTTTGGGCTAGTAGATACCAGCTTTTTCCTTCCACTAAAACTAACAGAAATTAGTAACACAGATATATATTCAAGAGGCTTTCGACCACAAAAGTGAACTGTGATTTTAGTAGAAGTCTTAAACAAATTGCAGACATGTTTATGTTTTTTATATGTCTCTGTATTATATAGCCTAAGGGAGTAATTTTAAATTGGTTCTGTGAAGGAATTACTTTTAAACAGCAGATGGTAGGAGCAATATTTTCTAGGTAAATGCTATTCTATCAAGAAAGATTTATTGAGAGCCTACTATGTGCCAGTATCTATGCTAGATAGTGAGTATACAGAGATGAAAGTTATGATGCCTGCCCTCCAAGGTCTAACAGTCCAGTGGTGACATTCAATTGCGATAAAACACTCTGCTCGTGATGGAGAGCTGTGCAAACACAGAGGCAGAATGACAGACCAGCTAAATGTGCAAGATGGCCTCAGAAAGTCAAGGACTTGAAACTTCAGAAGACATTTGCCAAGTGAACAAGAGCAGAGCAAGTTTTGCAAACAAGAAAGGGGATGTGCAAGGGAACAGAGGCAAGAGGTGTAAGGGGGTGCAAGGGCTTCCTAGAGACTAATGAGTTCAGTGTTCCTTGAACTTTAATAAGACAGAAGGTAGGTGGTGGAAGAGAGGTTGAAGCAACACACAGCGGTCAGATGGGGCTGCTTATGCCTTGCAAGGCATGTAGTTTGCCCGTTGAGTAACTGCAACTCACCAATGTCTATTGCACAGGGAATGGACATGCTCTGATGAGGATCCCAAGTATTATGTCAGTCCACTAGATGACCAGTCTGACAATGTGTTAAATTTTCAGATTTTACCAATTTGCCAAAATCATGTTCCTTATATCTATTTATAAAGTTTACAGAGGTTTATGACTTGCCAATTGACTTGTTTTCATTTGGAGTTTGTAATATAGCATTTCAAAGAATGTGCAGTTTGCATCTGATGCTGGGATAGAGAAAAATTAGGCAAATTAGGAGCTATGCTAGGGAGAATAGGCCTTTGCCAGGAAAAGAGAGAAGGATGCATGGCCCATTATGCCAATCCTGGAGAGGAAGTTTCCTGAGGAAGTTGACTTGGGGGAGGTTGAGGCTGAGAAGACTACAGATTCAGGGGCAGAAAGAGAGATTATGGAACCGTGAGAGGACGTTGAGGAGAAGAAATTGGACAAATGGAGGATCAGAGAACAAGGCTAGAATCAGCAAAGGAAAATAAAAGAATGGAGGAGAGAGGACAGGGGTAGGGAAATGTCTGAGGGCCATGGCATCCCACAGCCCCCAGGGACCTACAATCTATACCAAACAACTGAGGTAAACATCTTTGTGGTAAATGGTATATTTGGCAAATTAGACATTCATGAATTTCATTTCCAGTAAATTGACTTTTGGCTAATTGATTTTTTTTTCTCCAAAAGGACAGGTACCAGTATAGAATATTCAAGAACAGGAGATTTCTAAGACTATAAATGGAAAGAGAAAGTAGAGTCAAAAGAGTTTTTGTTTTTCAAGTGGGAAATGAATACATTCATGCGTGAGGAGAAAGAGTTAAAAATCGAACATACCAAAAAGAGAAAGAGGCCAGGGGTGGTGGCTCACACCTGTAATCCCAGGACTTTGGGAGGCAGAAGCAGGCACATCACTTGAGGTCAAGAGTTCGAGACCAGCCTGGGCAACAGGACAAAACCCCATCTCTACTAAAAATACAGAAATAGCTAAGCGTGGTGGTGCATGCACATAATCCCAGCTACTCGGGAGGCTGAAGCATGAGAATAGCTTTAACTCGGGAGGCAGAGGTTGCAGTGAGCTGAGATTGCACTGCTGCACTCCAGCCTGCATGGCAGAGCAAGACACTGTCTCAAAAAAAAAAACAAAAAAGAGAGAGAGAGAGAGAGAATATTTTTGTAGCAAGATATTCCAGCTATTATTGCTATAGAGCAAGTTTTCCCAAAACCTAGTGGCTTAATAAATGAAAACATTTATTTTGTCCACAAAGCTATAATTTGGCCAAGGCTTGGCAGTGACAGCTCAACCCTGGCTCCACCCAGGGTCAGCTGGAATGGCTCAAAGGTGAGGGACTAAAATTACTGAAGACTCATTCACTCGTGTCTCGCAGTTGATGCTGGCACTTGTCTGAGGGTCTTAGTTTTTTTCCACATGGTTTTCTCCACGTGACCTCTCTGTGTGGGCTAGAATGCTTCCCCTCCCATTGTGGCTGAGCTGAAAGACAAACATCTAGAACGAAAGAACCAGGCAGAAGCTAAACACACGCCTTTCTAACCTAGTTTCACCAGTAATACAATGTCACTTCTACTGTATTCACAGGACCATCCAGATTCAAGAAGAGGAAACGCAGATGCCATCTGTGATGGTTAGCATTATGTGTCAACTTGATTGGATTGAAGGATGCTTAAATAGCTGGTAAAGTATTGTTTCTGTGTGTGTCTATGAGGGCGTTGCCAGAGGAGATTGACATTTGAGTCCGTGGACTGGGAGAGGAAGACACACCCTCAGTATGGGTGGGCACCATCCAATCGGCTGCCAGACCAGCTAAAACAAAGCAGATGGAAGAAGGTGGGATAAGCCGGCTTGCTGAGTTTTCTGGCTTCCATCTTTCTCCCCTGCTGGATGTTTCTTGCCCTTGGACATCAGACTCCAGATTCTTCGGCCTTTGGACTCTTGGACTCACTCTAGTGGTTTGCCTGGGACTCTCAGGCCTTCGGCTACAGATTGAAGGCTACGCTGTCGACTTCTTTACTTTTGAGGCTCTTGGACTTGGAATGAGCCACTGCTGGCTTCCTACCTCCTCAGCTTGCAGATGGCTTATCATGGGACTTCACCTTGTGATCGTGTGAGTTAATTCTTAATAAACTCCCTTTCATATATACACCTACCCTATTAGTTCTGTCCCTCTGCAGAACCCTAATACACCATCCTTTAATAGAAGAATATCAATATCCTATTATAAAAAGAATACAAGAATACAAAATAATATATATTCCAAATTGTTGTATTCTTTATATACATCACACATATATATCACACATATATGTATGTGTGTGTATGTATTGCACCATTTTAGACAAATACAATCTGTTACCCACACTCACTGAAGTGGCTTAAAAAAAATAGCTCCAGAACAGAGATGAAACAGCCTTGCATTGGCAAGAGGATAGTTTTTCTGTTAAGGAGGGGCTAGGCCAGGAATTCAGCTGACTGTGAGCCAATTTAAAGAGAACAAGGAGAACCAAGAAAGCTATGCAAGCCAGGTTTAGGCCTTTCTTTCCCCCCATCTAAGTTTCAGATGGTATCTTAGTCCTGCAATTCTCCTCCTTTACCTTAAATTCAAGTTCAGGAAATTATAATTTGTTGCATTTTGATGAAAGTTTCCATCACATTTTAAAATATTAATATTTGACCCTGAAGTCTTCCTTTTTATACCATAATTATTAGCAGGTATAAAGGAAGTCCCAGCATAGGTATTTGGAGGATCTAATTTTCACCATTCCATACTCTTCATGGGGAAGAAACAATAAGAGGTTAGAAACTGAGTCAAAAGAAGAGAAAATGTAATCGAAGTTTTATTTTAATTATAGTCTGCCCTGGTCTTTCTCCAGTAACTCCAGTTATCACTATCTGTTGTAGTCTCTCTGAGGTGTGAAATACTTGCCACATCTTTCCAGAAATGAAGAAGAACCATCCTTAAATAATTGCATATTTAATAATGCCTAATGCTTACCACTAAAGTAATGTCAGAATTTACAAATTGCTCACAAGTAGTAACACTGATCTCATTTTCTTTTTCTTTAATGTCTATTGTTCTCACCTTGGAAATTATAAAGAATGTTTTCTAGGGTTAATGATTTCTGGAACATCTCATTTATTTCAGACACATTAGAGTTAGTATCTATTTATTTCTTTACCCCTAGGTCCAAAGGAAATTAAATGTTGTAAAAAAGGTAGATAGAATAAGGAGAAATATTATTTTCTATATCCAATAAGCTCAGAGACAAGAACCACCTTTTCTTAACCTGTTGTGGAAGGTCACGGCAAGTAGCTTTGCTAATGGGCAAATTGTTGAACTTTTAGGAAAGGTTTAAAAGCACCGAGGTTTGGAGGGTTGAACTTCCGGAGACCATATAGATCTGCTGGCAGAATTTCTCAGGAGAGTGTGAATGTTAAAAGGGGATTTATGGATGTGACAAGCAGAGCACTTAGAGGGAACCCAAGGGTTTGATGCAACATTTGGCTACTAGAACACCTAGGAAAAGTCTGTACATGATCCTTTTCCATCCTAAGAGGAAAGTTTATTCTACATCAAAAAAGATTAGCAAAATCATTATATCATCTACAAATCTGCTGTGGCTGTCAGTCCCTTTTTTTTCCTGTTATATCAGAGAAAGTATCTCTTCTCAAGATCAATAATCATTCCCTCTGAATGAGATCCAGATCCCTTTCTTTCTCATCTTATTACACATTATTCATCAGCTCTCTTTCTTGTATCTTCAACTTCTCCGTCTAGACCAACTCATTCTTACCAGAGCACCAATGGGTTCTAATGTTCTCACATCTTTAAAAACATCATTCTCCTTTGACCTCCTATCTCCCCATCCTCTTCCAATTGCCACTCCTTTGCTCTCTCCCTGTCATACTCAAACTTCTTGAAAATATTGCCTCCAAACCCTGCATCAAAATTCTTACCTCCTATTCACTCTTCAAACTCCCTCATACTATTTCCATTCCTAAAATCATACTGAAATTAATATTGTCAAGGAGGGCACAACTTTCACCTTGCAAATCTAATTGACTTCTTCTATCCTCATTCTTCTTAAACTCTCACTAGCAGTCAACAGAACTGGCACTCAATCCTCTTTGAAACGTGGCTGCCAGTACTTCCTAGTATCTTTAGCCAGCTTCTTCTACTCTCCTGACTTCCAAAAGTTGAAGTTCTTCTGGGCACTATGTGGGACATCTTCCTGTATACACTCTTTTTTAGGTGATTAAAACTTTCAGTACCATCATTGGGTCAGCAACATCTAAAACTTCCATCTCCAGCTTAGACCATTCTGAGGATCCCAAACTCACATACCCAATGGTTTATTTAATATCTCTCCTTCTCCGATTGGATGTCTCATAAACAATCTAAATTTAATGTGCCCCAAACTCAAATTCTATACATTCCCTGCCTCCAAAATGCTCACTTCTTAGTCTTTCCTGTCTCTGAAAATGGTACCATGATCTATTCAGTGTCCACAAACAAGTGTTTGATACTTCCCTCTCTTTCAAACCCACAGCTAATCTATACTCAAGCCGTGTCTGTTCAAACTACATACATGTCTTGGATCACTCCATTGCTCTAGATTCTTTTCTAATTGAAAAAGAAATCACAGAAAATGTTGAACACATTCTCTTCTTTTTCCTATGTACTTTGAATTCCTTGGGAGAAGTCCAGTCTATTTTAAATAAATGATATAAATAAATAAGTTCAATGCAACATATTAACTTTGAAGTTTTGGTTATCAGTGCTTTTCTCTATGGGGAACTCATATGCTGTTTCAAACTTCTAAGCTGATTTTTGAGAGGAAGATATATTTTCTCATAGAACCCCAAGAGACTTGTATCAGAAATGAAGAAATGATTTCAGTTTTTTAAAGTTTCTTATATGGTGTCTTCAAAAAATAAATTTAGTTTTTTGTTCAAAAGATGTCTGAATGTTACTTCATTCTACACAACATAAAATTATATATTAACCTTCACCTCCTGAAACTTTCTGCTGGATAGAATTAAGAGTCATTTACTTGTCCCAAAGTAAAAGCAAGCCCTATGGGTCAAATTCCATCCACCTCTTCCCCTACGGAGGGTGAAGAGATTTTCAAAGAAGGAAAGAAGGGAATGAAGGAAGAAAGGAAGGGGGGAAGAGAAAAGGAGAGGGAAGGAAGAGGAAGGAAGGAAGGGAGGGAGGGAGGGGAAAAAGGAAAAAAAAGAAAAGTTTTATCTAATTAGCTAACCTCAAAAGCTAATAAGATCTTATTTCTTGTAAGAAATTTGAGAAAAGGGATTTAAAAAGAAATAGCTAAGTTCATCTGCCACCATTAGGCATCTGAAATGAAAATGAAAGATTTGACTAATTTATTCAAGTCAAAAAATAAGGATCGCATTCTGCTTCCAAGACACCATTGTGCTATGAACTGTACAATTCAAGTTCATTGCATGATGTAGAAGTGATCAGATTGAATTGTCTTCATTGTATGCCCTTAATCATAAAGAGTTTGTGTGCCTTTGAAAGAAGAGGAGTTTAGAATAACAAGAGCATGGAGACTTCTTTTATTTTAATGCATTCAGATGACTGAGTCATAGAAACTTGTTGAAGATATTTATTGAGCTGCTACCTCACATGAAGGACTTTTTGGAATTAATAGGCTCCGAGAGACCCAACTTGTCAGACCCCCAGTGGCTCAGAAGATTGTACATCTTTGTGAATATGACAAGACGTCCAAGCACCCTGAACCTGAGACTGCAGGGGAACAAGAAGCATTGCTGATTTTTTCAACGCACGAGTATACAGACTCCATGTGGACATGTGGACTGAGCAGATGGCAGCTGAGGATGGCACTGGCTTCCCATCCCTGAACATTCAGAGCTCAAAATATCCAAAAATTCTGAAGAATTACAGAATTGATGAAAATGACACCATAATTTTAGAAGAGATTCATGGAGTGTAATAAATACAGATCATGCTAATGTCTGTGGTTATCTAGAGATAACATCCAAACAAGCAAATGTCCACTCTATCACAGCATCGCTCAACCCCACAAGAAAAAAATAGGGTGGATTGTGCCCACCTAGAAGATTAAGTATCCCTGGAAATGTAACTTAACTGATATTTAAATCCATTTGATCTCTTTGAAATATTTGGCTCTGAAAGTATTTTTCTTGCTTTAGTGAATTCTGCTGGTGTACTAGCCAGACCCCTTGGCAAGGACTGGTGTGCTCATCCCCTAGTTGGTGTTGTTGTTGACTGTTAATGGCATGGAACTAAAACCTTTTCCAAGTAATTGCCCTCAGCCAAGCAAGAGCTGCCTAACCTAGGAGGTTATGCCCCACCCACCCACACTCCTGGGGACAGATCACAGCTAATGCCTTCCTGGGGGCAGAGATGGGCTTGTTTCAAGGAACAACTTAATATCACAATTCATGCCCTACACTTCCTCAGGGAATAGACTAAAGCTAGACTTCATCCAAAACTGCATCTTAGTTTAAGTGCCTTCCACTCCCTATCCCATCACTCACTCCTTTCCTCCTAAGAAAATAAATAATACTCACAAGAATTTGTCTCAAGACCTGCTTTTAGAAAATATGAACTAAAACAGCTGGTGCTAGGAGTGGTCCTAGGAAACAGTTTTAAGGTTAAGATGCTGAAATTGAATTATTTGCCAGCCAGCTGGACAAAGGGCCCATTACTTGTGGTAGTCAGAGTACTGATGATCCCTGGCAGGTTATAAATAAACTATACTTGTAATGAACTGGGACAGAATATAAGCAAGAGGAAAAACACTGGCTCATGCAACATTTCTGGAGTTTGAGGGGAACAAAGGAAATAATCATTATAAGGGTTGTGGAATTAGGAGGCTATTGCCATAGAAGCTTTGAAAAAGGAGAAGGGCAGGATCAGGGCAATCAATCACCAATTCAAAGCAAAGTGTTAAAGTGAGAGGACCCCTTTAGAGACATTTAAAGAAACATTCATATGAGATGTCCCAGTGCTAGGGTAAATCCACACATTGTTAAGCTATTGTCTGAAGTTACCTAAACCATCAGGACAATCTACAGGCTATCACTCTGCCCTATTATATTGATGACATCCTGTTATTTATACCTATGAACAAGAAGTGTCAGGTACTTTTTTTTTTTTTTTTTTTTTTTTTTGAGACAGTCTCACTCTGTCGCCCAGGCTGGAGTGCAGTGGCGCGATCTCGGCTCACTGCAAGCTCTACCTCCCGGGTTCACGCCATTCTCCTGCCTCAGCCTCCCGAGTAGCTGGGACTACAGGCGCCCGCCACCATGCCTGGCTAATTTTTTGTATTTTTAGTACAGACGGGGTTTCACCGTATTCGCCAGGATGGTCTCGATCTCCTGACCTCGTGATCCGCCCGCCTCGGCCTCCCAAAGTGCTGGGATTACAGGTGTGAGCCACCGCACCTGGCCAAAGTGTCAAGTACTTTGGATACCTTGGTAAAACACACCAGATAGTGGGAGATAAATACAACATGATTCTGAAGCCTGACTCATTAATGAAATTTTTAGGAGTTTGGTGATCTGAGGCATGCCATGACATTTTTTTCTCCTAAAGGGCAAAATTATTGCACCTTGTACCTCATATCTTAATAAAGATACACACCTAGTAGACGTGACTAGATACTGGAGGGGTAGCATATCCACACTTGAATTAATGTTCTGACCCAGTCATGGGGTGAGGGGAGATACAGAAGGCAGGTACTTTTTGAGTGGAACCCAAATCAAGAAAAGAGTATTAAATCCAATGCAGGCTATGATACAAGTAGCCTTACTATTTGGGCCACATGACCTAGCAGAGTCCAGGTACTAGAAGAATTTGTGCTAGGAAAAGGTATCATGTGGTATCTGTACCAAGCCCCAAAAGTAGGTTCACATGAAGATTCCTGGAGTTCTAAAGCAAGATGAAATCATTTCCAGCAAAGAACTATACACAATGTATGAAGGAGTTCTTGCCATACTGTCAGGCCTTGGTAAAGAAAAAATATCTCACTACAAGATATTAAATCACCATGTAGCTATAACTACCCAAAATAAGCTGTGTATGTCAAATACACCAAGTCGTGTGGTTGAGTGGGATGAGAAGCACCAGGATCAGCCTCAAGCAGGTTCAAAGGTCATAACTAAGATGCACAAGGAGATACACAGATCCTTATATCACTCACCACTGTGACAGTGATGCCCCTTGTTCAGATCACAGCTATTCTTTCATGGGGAGTTCCCTGTAATAGCTGACAGAGGAAGAAATAACCTGAACTTGATTCACAGGTGAGCCAGCCCAGTACATGGGTGCAATCCCAAAATGGATTGCTGCCACAACTACAAAGTGGCTGTGAAAGACGATGGTGAAGGGAAATTCTCCCAGTGGACAGAACTTCAAGTGTGCACCTGATCTTCTACTTTGTGTTGAGAGAAAAGTAACCCAAGATAAAGATATACATAAACTCAATAGCAATGATGAATGGCTTAGCTGGTTCAGCAGAGACCTGGGAGGATCAAGATGAAATATTTGGGACAAGGAGATTTGGGAGGAGCCATGTGGGAGAACTTATAGGAATAGGCTTAAAATGTGAAGAACTTTGTATCATATATTATTGCACACTAGAGAGCAAATACTGCACAAGAGGCACTAAATAATCAAATGGAAAGGTTATGCAAGGAAAAAAGACAGAAAGAAGAAAAGAACAGTGATGCCTTAGCCAGTTGTTATCAGCCAAACTCCTTTAGCCAGCCTAATAGTTGCACAATGGGCTTATGGAGAGACTAGTCATGGTGACAGAGATGGAGGCAATGCACAGACTCTCTTTAATCAAGGATGATCTAGCTTCTGCTGCTGCTGAATGTCTGATCTGCTGGCAGCAGAGACCAATGTTAGGCTTCTAATACAGTACCACTCCTTCAGGGCACTTCTTTCTGCTCCCTTCATTCTGTTACACTCCTACCCCAAACTAAATGCCCTATGGTATGGATGCTGGATATTTCAAAACATGCTTTCAACACCTAGAACAAGCTACCTGATGTTTTAAAAGTAATTATTTATCACATATAAGGGAGTTTCAATAAAGCTAGCAGGGATTTCTTGGCAAAAATGTTACAGGCCAGGAGAGATGATGTATTCAAACTGCTTAAGAAAAAAAAAAAACTGCCAACCAAGAATATTTTACTTGGTAAAGCCATATATCAGAAATGAAGAAAAAATAAACACTTTCCCAGAAAAATAAAAGCCGAAGGAGTTCATCACTACCAGGCCAGTCTTACAAAAAGTGCTAAAAGGAGTTCTTCAAGCTGAAAGAAAAGAATACTAATCAGTAACATGAAAACATATGAAAGTATAAAACTCACCAGTGAAAGTAAATATACAGTCAAATTCAGAATACTCTTATACTGTAGTGGTGACCTATAAATCACTTTTATTTTTACTAGGAAGGTTGAAATACAAAACTGTTAAAAATAATAATAGCCACAATAAGTTAAGAAATACACAATATAAAAAATATAAATTGTGTTATAAAATGTGAGGATAAAAGTGTGGAGGTTTTTCATATGATCGAAGTTAAGTTGTTATAAATTTAAAATATCCTGTTATAACAATAACATGTTTTATATAAGCTTCATGTTAACCATAAAGCAAAAACCTATAGCAGACACACGAAAGATAAAAAGGAATCAAAACATACCTCCAGAGAAAGTCACCTAATCACAAAGGAAGACAGCAAAAGAGGAAGAAAATAAACAAAGGATCTACAAAACAACCAGAAAACAATTAATAAAATGACAGCGGCAAGTCCTTACCTATCAATAATTATCCTGAATGTAAATGGATTAAATTATCCAATGAAAGACATAGAATGGCTGAATGGACTTTAAAAAAAAAAAAAAAAAAAAAAGAGGAAAACAAGCCCCAACTATATACTGCATACAAGAGATTCATTTCACCTTCAAGGACACACAGAGATTGAAAGTAAAAGAATGGAAATATATCCCACACAAGTGAAAACCAAAAGAAAGCAGGAATAACTATACTTATTTTAGATAAAATAGACTTTAAGTCAAAAACTGTAAAACAAGACAAAGAAGGTCATTATATAATGATAAAGGGATCAATTCAGGAAGAGGATATAACAATTGTGAATATATATGCACCCAACATCAGAGCACCTAAATATATAAAGCAAATATTAATAGATCTGAAGAGAGAGATAGACTGCAATACAGTAATAGGAGGGGAATTCAATACTCGACTTTCAACAATAAACAGATCATCCAGACAGAAAATCAATAAGGAAACATTGGACTTGAACTATACTTTAGACCAAATAGACCTAACAGACATATAGAGAACATTTCATCCAACAGCAGCAGAATTCACATTATTCTCAAGTGTACATAGAACATACTCCAGGATAGATATGGTAGGCCATAAAACAAGTCTTAACAACTTAAGAAAATTAAAATCATATCAAGTATCTTTTCTGGACACAATGGCATGAAATAAAATTTTAGGAAAATTCACAAATAGATAGAAATAAACACTATACTCCTAAACAACCAATGGGTAGAAATTCAAAAGAAAAATTTAAAATATCTTGAAATAAACAAAAATGGAAACACAACATACCAAACCTTATGGGATACAGCAAAAGCAGTTATTACAGGAAAGTTTCTAGCTCTAAATGCCTACATCAAAAAAGAAGAAAGATCTCAAATAAACAACCTGATATTACACTTTAAGCAATTAGAAAGAGAACAAACTAAGCCAAAGTTAGTACAAGGAAGAAAATAATAAATATTAGAGCAGAAATAAATGAAATAGAGACTGAAAAACATAAGAAAAGATTCACGAAACTGAGTTGCTTTTTTGCAAATATAAAAAAAGTCAATAAACTCCTAACTAGACTTAGGGAAGACTCAAATCAGAAATGAAAGAGGAAACATTACAACTTACACCCCAGAAATACAAAGGATCATAAGAGACCACTATGAATAATTATAGGCCAACAAATTGGATAACCTAGAAAAAATGGATTAATTTCTACACATACCAAAGCTAAACATGAAGAAATGAAAAACATGAACAGACCAATAATAAGTGACAAAGACTGAGTCAGAAATAAAAGTCTCCCATCAAAGATACACTCAGGACCTGATGGCTTCACTGCTCAGTTCTACCAAACATTTAAATAACTAATACCAATCCTCCTCAAACTCTTCTAAGAAATTGAAGTGGAGGGAATACTTCCAAACTCGTTTCATGAGATCAGTATTACCATGATACCAAAGCCAGATAAGGACACCATAAGAAAATAAAATTATAGGCCAATATCCTTGATGAAAGTGGATGCAAAAATTCAACAAAATACTAAAAGAACATTAAAATAGTAACAATATTAAAAGGATCACTCATCATAATCAAGTGGGATTTATCCCTGGATACAAGGATGATGCAACATTTGCGAATCAATGTTATGTACTATGATACACCACAATAACAGAAAGAAGGGGAAAAGAATATGATTATCTCCATAGATGCAAAAAAGACATTTGTCAACATTTAACATGCTTTCATGAAAAAAATTCTCAAGGTAGTTGGAGAACAAACATACCTCAATACAATAAAAGCCATGCATGACAAGCCCACTGCTAACATATACTAAAGGCTGAAAAGTTGCAAGGTTTTCCTCTAAGATCAGGAACTGATATGGTTTTGTTGTGTCCCCACCCAAAATCTCATCTTGAATTGTAATCCCATAATCCCCACAGGTCAAGGGCAGGACCAGGTGGAGATAATCAGATCATAAGGGCAGTTTCCCCCATTCTATTCTTGTGATAGTGAGTGAGTCTCATGAGATCTTATGGTTTTATAAGCATCTGGTGTTTCCCCTGCTTGCACTCATTCTCTCTCCTGCTGCCCTGTGAAGAGGTGCCTTCTGCCATGATTGTAAGTTTCTGGAGTCCTCCCCAGCCCTGCAAAACTGTAAATCAATTAAACCTCTTTTCTTTATAAATTACTCAATCTCAAGTATTTCTTCATAGCAGCATGAGGATGGACTAATACAGGAACAAAACGAGGATGCCCACTCTCACCACATCTATTCAGCATAGTATGGGAAGTCATAGGGAAATTAGTCAAGAGAAAGAAAGAAAAGGTATCCAAATCAGAAAGAAATAAGTTAAATTGTCTCTCTTTGTAGACCACATGATCTTATATATAGAAAACCCTAAAGACTCCACCAAAAAACAGAATAAATTTAGTAAAGTTTCATAATACAAAATCAACATTAAAAAATCAGTAGCATTTCTATTTACTAACAATAAACTCTCTGAAAAAGAAACCAAGAAAACAATCCCATTTACAATAACTATTTATAATAGCTACCAAAAAAACTAAATATTTAGGAATAAAATCAATCAAGGAAGTGAAAGATCTGTACACTGAAAACTATAAAACACTGATGAAAGAAATTAAAGAAGACACAAATAAACAGAATGATATCCTGTGTTCATGGATTGGAAAAATATTGTTAGAATGTTTATACTACCCAAAGAAATCTACAGATTCAATGTAATCCCTATCAAAATCCTGATATGTTTCATATGGACAAAATAATCCTACAACTTGTATGAAACCACAAAAGACAATAAATAGCCAAAGCAATCTTGAGCAAAAAGAACAAAGCCAGAACCATCACATTATCTGATTTCAAAATCTACTACAAAGCTCTAATAATCAAAACAGCATGGTGCTGGCATAAAAACAGATGCATAGACCAATGGGACTGAATAGATAGTTCAGAATTGCATAAACCCATGCATTTAGAATCCATTGATTTTTTTATAAACATGCCAAGAACACACAATGGAGAAAGGAAAATCTCTTTAATAAATGCTACTGGGAAAACCAGATATCCACATGCAGAAAAATGAAATTAAACCCTTAGCTTACCCCAAGTACAAAAAGCAACTCAAAATGGATTAAACATGCAAATATAAGACCTGAAACTCGAAAATGACTGGAAGAAATATAGGGGAGAAGCTCCTCAACATTAGTCTGAACAATAATTTTTTTCTACATGACCCCAAAAACACAGGCAACAAAAGCAAAAATAGACAAATAGAATTACATCTAATAAACTTCTGCACAACCAGGGACACAAACAACAGAATGAACAGAAACCCTACAGAATGGGAGAAAATACTTGTTAACTATATACCTAAAATTGGTATTAATATCCAAATACAAAGGGTCCCCAACTTATGATAGCTTGACTTACCATTGTTCAGCTTTACAATGGTGTGAAAGCAATAGGCATTCAGTAAAAAAAATACTTCTAGTACCCTTACAATCATTCTATTTTTCACTTTCGGTACAGTATTCAATAATTTATGAGATATTCCATATGTTATTATAAAATAGGCTTTGTGTTAGATGACTTTGCCCAACTGTAAGCTAATGTAAGTGTTCTGAGCATGTTTAAGGTAGGCTAGGCTAAGCCATGGTGTTTGGTAGGTTAGGTGCATTAAATGTATTTTCAACTTAGGACCCAGTGGGTTTACTGGGACATAACTCCATTTAAGTCAAGGAGCATGTATGTGTAAGGAACTCAAACAATTTAATAGCAAACAAACAAATACCATGATTGAAAAACGGGCAAAGAACCTGAATAGGCATTTCTCAAAAGAAGACATACAAGCAGCCAACACACACGTGAAAAAATGCTCAACATCTCTAATTATCAGAGAAATGCAAATTAAAATTACAATGAGATACCATCTCACACTTGCTAGAATGGCTTTATCAAAAGAGGAAAGATAAGTGTTGGTCAGGATGTGGAGAAAAAAGAACACTTGTACATTATTGATGGAAATGTAAATTCTTATAGCCTTTAAGGAAAAGATTATTGGAAGTCCTCCAAAAATTAATAAAAGAGCTACATTATGATCCAGCAATCTTACTACCAGGTACATATTCAAAGAGATGAAACCAGTATATCAAAGAGATAGTTGTACTCTCATGCTCACTGCAGAATTAGTTACAATAGCCAAGATACGGAATCAACCTAAATGTCCATCAACAAAAAAATAGATAAAGAAAATACGGCTTATATACAAAATGGAATACTATTCAGCACACACACAAAAAAGGAAATCCTAACATTTGTGACAGGATTTTGGATGAACCCAGAGGACATTATGTTAAATGAAGTAAGCCAGAAAGACAATTACCATATGATCTCCACTTATGTGTGGAATCTTAAAGGTCAAACTCACAGAAGCAGAGAGTAAAATGGTGGTTACCAGAAGTGGGGGTTTGGGGGATTAGGGAGATATTGGTCAAAGGATAACAAATTTCAGTTAAACAAGAGAAATAAGTACAACATTGTGACAAGAGTTAATAGCAATGCACTGTATGCTTCAAAAATGCTCAGAGAAGCCAGGTGCAGTGGCTCATGCCTGTAATCCCAGCATTTTGGGAGCCTGAGGTGGGCAGATCACTTGAGGTCAGGAGTTTGAGACCAGCCTGGCCAACATGGTGAAACCTTGTCTCTACTAAAAATACAAAAATTAGCCAGGCATGCTGGTGTCTGTAATCCCAGCTACTCAAGAGGCTGAGGCAGGAGAATCGCTTGAACCTAGTAGGTGGAGGCCACAGTGAGCCAAGACGGCACCACTGCACTCCAGCCTGGATGACGGAGCGAGATGCCATCTCATTTAAAAAAAAAAAAAAGAAAGAAAGAAAGAAAGAAAGAAAGAAAATAAAAATGCCCAGAGAGCAGATTTTTTAAGTATTATCACCACAAATAAATATGTGAAGTAATTATTAGCTTGATTTCGCCATTCCACAATGTATACAGATTTCAAAACATCATATGGTGCACCAAAAATGTGTAATATTTTTATTTGTAAATCAAAAAAAATAAATATTTGGATACAGGGGGGAACTAATTAGTATTTTTTTAAAATGAATAAATCCATTATATTCCTAGCTGCAGGATTATGTGCTGTGTGTACATGGGAGCAAGAGGAGTTAATATGGGATTTTTTTTCTTTGTTTTTTATCTTGCCTCGAATGTAGTTGTGTGAGATCATGGTTCCTGGTTGCAGCCATCTTGTCACCCGAGGCAACAAGCATTAGGAAAGCAATGCATCTTGCTGAGTATGGCAGGGCAGGAGGGCATGAACAGCCTGGGTCTTTAATAATGTTACTGAACTGCTGCACCTGACCTGAAATCACCTATACCAGAATTCTTTATATGTAAGATAATGATGTTCCTAGTGCTTATGTTACAAGGTTCAAGCTTGAACATTGGATATTCTCTAACTTGTTTCTGAATAAACCCTCTCAAGCTCTTAAGTACCGTACATTATTTATTAGAATTTTAAAACACTTAAAAATTTAATTTTTTTAAGAAAACATATCTATAGTAAAAGCATAAAAATACACATGAAAGGGATGCATAATTATTTTGAAATAGTGGCTCCTCTAGGTGGAGGGAAATTACATCAGGGAGAAGTACAAAAGGAGACTTCATCTGTATCTATAATGTATAATTTATTTACTTTTTTAAAATCTTGAAGTAAATATACCATCTGTCAAAATCTGTCAAGGATGGATAGGGCACTTACATTCTTTCTCCCTTTTCTCTGTGTTTGAAATGCTTCAAGATAATAAAATACAATTTTTTTTTTCAGAGCAAAAGATGACAAGATACTTTCCCAAAGTCAGGACCTTTCTATACTCTCATGGCAGAGAGGTGTCTACCCCCTCACCCATCCCCCTCACCACCCCTCCCTCTTCCTCTCTGTCTGGGTCTTGAGAAGAAGGACAAGGGTAGACTGTAACTAGAGTCATATAGTGATGTTGCTGGAAAGCAGGCAGCCTGCATTCTAAGGACCACATCGAAGAGAGAATCTTGGAGCAATCTATAATCCTTCCCTTTAGCTGAAGTGCTAGGAGCCACAAATTCTCTTTCTCCCTGGACCACCATTCACCTAACAGGCCTCTAAATGCTTGATTTAACTATGCAAAAACACTACTAATTATATTCATTTATGTGACTGACTTACCATTTTAATCTAATTGCCATGCAGCAAAATAACTGTTAAAGCATATCATTAAACTACTTTAATAATTATAGAGAGGTTTGCTTGTCCTCCTAGTTCAATCCTAAGCTCTAGGGCAGGAACCTCACCCCCTACCTTTTGTACATTCTTAAATTAGCTGGGAAGGAGAGTGTGGAAATACTGGCAGACTAGCCATCTTATCAGAATCCTGGGTCTGCTGAACAGCTGAGATTTCTAGCAACAGCTCCATAACCTTGCTTGGGTATTTTCACTATTTTAGTGAGTTCAGGCTGCTATAACAAATTACCATAGACTGAGTGGCTTAAACAAGAAAATGTGTCTCTCATAGTTTCGAAGCCTGGGAGGGCTGACTTCTCCTTGTAAACTCACATGGCAGAAAGAGATCCAACTAGCTCTCTGGGCTCTTCATATAATAGCACTAATCCTATTTATGAGGACACCACCCTCATGACCTAATTACCTCCCGAAGGCCCCACCTCTGAATGCCGTCACATTGGGGATTAGATTTCAACATATGAATTCTGGGGGGCACATTCTATCTGTAACTTTCAGCATGCATTCTGCTCACAGTCCAGAACATTCAACATACACTGTCCACACCGTGAGCATTTCTCCTCTACTTCATTCCACTTCTTTCCTCAGGAACTTCCTTTCACACTACTCACATCTGCCACACCAGATCCAACTTTTCCCATTCAACCAATGTCCTCTGAAAACTACCTTATATCCACCTCATGTTTATTCTTTCTACCCACCCATGGCTCTCCCTCAGGACCTGCCTTCTGTCCCTTTGAGATCACAATTCAGTTGGGGGTCATTATCTAACCTCATTTCTCATCTTGCTCCTCATTTTTGTTTCTTCAAGAGCTTGACCCCTTGGCCAGATGTGATTGCCCATGTCTATAGCCTAAGCACTTTGAAGACTGAGGCAGGAGGAGCCCCAGGAGTTGGAGACCAGCCTCGGCAAGATAGCAAGATTCCACCTCTACAAAAACATTAAATAATTAATTAATTATTTAACTAAACTAACTTGACTTCTTGAAGTCACAGTGTCTTTCAATGGCTTCTCTCATGAAGATCATTCTTCTCCCAATATCTGCCAGATCAAAGAGTGGGAAAGCCAGGTCCAGTGGTACACACCTGTAGTTCCAGTTACTCAGGAGGCTGAGGCAGGAAGATTGCTTGAGTCAAGGAGTTTGAGTCTAGCCTGGGCAACACAGTGAGACCCCATCTCAAATTAACTAACTAATTATATGTTTTAAAAATCAAGCAATTATCTTAAAATGATAGTGGTTTGAGAAGAGGATACACTGATCTGATCACTGTGTATTATATGTATCAAACCATCACTACATACCTGATACGGTTTGGCTATGTGTCCCCACCCAAATCTCATCTCAAATTGTAATCCTCACGTGTCACAGGAGGGGCCTGGTGGGGGTTGATTTTATCATGGGGATGGTTTTCCGCATGCTGTTCTCATGATAATGAGTTCTTGTGAAATCTGATGGTTTAAAAATGTTTGACAGTTTCTCCTTTTGCTCTTTCTCCTGCCACCGTGTAAGATGTGCCTTGCTTCCCCTTTGCCTTCTGCCATGATTGTAAATTTCCTGAGGCCACCCCACCCATGTGGAACTGTGAATCAATTAAACCTCTGTTGTTTATAAATTACCCAGCCTCAGGTAGTTCTTTCTTTATAGCAGTGTGAAAACAGACTAATACAGTACCCCATGAATATGTACAATTACTTGTCAATTTTTTAAAATAATTTTAAAAAAAAGAGTGGTGCAGTAGAGGAAGAGGGAGCAGCCTTCTCATTTACTAAGGTCACTTCTGCAACTACATCATAGAGCCACGCTCTCTTCTTAATTCTAATGGGTTAACGTCAATTTGTCTGTTCTAAAATTTTAAGTCACAGTGGGTATTGGTTGCCATTTCCCCCTTGGCCCATACATCAGATCTGTTTCCTCTGTTCTCCTAAGCTTCTGATTCACATTCTTCCTCTACACTCTATCATCTGGTTTTATACTTAAAAAGTCACCATCCTTAGACTCCTTGACATTTTGAAACTCCTGAATGCCAGATGTTATGTGAAACTCTGGAGAAATAGTAGCAAGCAAGACTCACATGCCTCCTGCCCTCACAGAGCTCCATGATCTGGTGAAAGTGCCAGATATTTAAACCCATGGATGTGTGCACACAAAATAACAATTCTCTCAAGCGTTGTGAAGAAAAGTCACAGAGCACTACAAAAGCATGTAAGAGTGAGGCAAAACCTATCGTGTTAGGACAGGGAAGGCTTCTGTGAGCTAACCTGAAGGATGAGTAGGGGTGAGCCAGATGAAAAGGCGAGAGAAAAACATTCTGAGCAGAGACTGCCACTGAGTGCATCCCAGTTTTCCCAACATCTTAACACTGTATAATGACTACACTGGATTTTCTTCATCCTGGATCCATGGTTAGACATGTTAATATGCCTTCTTTAGCAACCCAGTTTCCCTTACCTTTTTCCAAACCCACCTGCTCATTCTTAATCATACATTCTAGCTCACTGACACAATTCATTCTGTTATCTCTTGTTCCTAGAATAACTGAACAATACAAAATTGTCATTTTTGTAGGTCAAGGGTTAGCAAATATCACAAATTTCAGAAATAACAGATATTTTGTATGGTTTAAACTAATATTTTATTGATAAACTTATAAGATAGTTGACCATCAGTATCATCACTTCTAGCTACAATATCTCCCTTTAAATTTGTATTGTAACCTTACACTGAGTGCATACCCATCTTGGTCATTAAGAGTTCCAGGTAAAAAATGTTTGTAACCAAAAATGGTCACCCATATTACTTCATAACCAGTAAATGCTTTTTTATCTTTAACCTATCCCCTTCTATTGACCCTCAAAAAAAATTTATATATCAATTTATTTATATATGTTTGTGTGTATATATATATATATATAAACAAACTGTTTCCTTCTCCTCTGTAGAATAGCACTACAGATAATGATAAACCATTATTCAGTCATTTTTCCGTGTCACCCTTCTTAATACAGCTACTCTGGGATGGCTCCACGAATAGTACACTTGTGGCTTCTGCACAAAATGTGCAAAGAGTATACGAGGTAATACAATTTACATAAGGTTTTCACATACTTTATTGCACTTAACACATTATCCCATGAGTTATGTAACACATAATGTTGTCTCCAATTCACAGATGGAAAACCCGAGTCTCAGAAATGACAAGGGATTATTATATAGGCAATTGAGAACTGTAAAGTCAACCTAAGGCTCACTTTCAATTCTAATTGTATGATCTTTCTATGTCATCTCACCTTCTCTTGGTTTATGTCTTTCAAGGAGATGGGAGGGGCAATTGAAGCAAGTCAGCACACCTTATGAAAGCAAATTCTTTGGCTTTCTTGAATAAGATAGGTAGATTAGGTATGCTAGAATAGACTAGGTAAGCTAGGGCTGCTCAGAGCCTCTAGGCATTACACTTGTCCACTGTTACCAGCTGTCATTACCGTTGCCCTGACTCCGTGCTCTATTGGTCAACCTCTTACTGTTCTCCATATCCTCCAATGACTTCTTAACTCTTGGGGGAGTGGGAAGGGAGAAACTTGGAAATGATATTGATAAGGCTTACACCCAAATACAGAAGAAAGTGATTGGAGAAAGAACAATATGGAGGGGAGGTGAAGAGCACAGTGCAACAGCCAACAGCACACACACTATTTGTGTTCTCTGCTAGGATTTTACCCTCTTACCTCTCCCCCTCCTCTCAGATGTTAAAAAAAAGCTCTCTTGCATATATCTCCCTTTAAAAACATCAGATGCTTCTGAAACAAACAGCTGTATAGCCTGATAATTTCAAAGTCACATGTAAGGAGAAAGGATTGCCATGTCTTCCCTCACACGAATTGGGTCCCCTTATTATGCGTTCAACAGCCCTCCATACTTGCTCTCCATTTTCAGAGGCCTGGAGCATGCTATATCTTTGAGAAAGGGAAGAGAACAAATGCTTAATTAAACAGCTATTATGTGCCAGGTATTGTGCTAGGAATTTTACATAATGATATTTTCTTTGGAAAGTAAAAATAAGGAAGAGGAAGACGAGAAGGAGGAGAAGGCAGGGCTCCAGCTGGTGGTATCTGTTCCATCAGGGAAAAAGGAAGGGGAGAATTTGTGTTTTGATTTTTCATTTGTCCAAATACTATGTAGGGATATGATTTTCTAAAGACAAATATAGTGACCAGGTGGAACAAGGGACAAATTTGGGCAGCTCTCTGAGCTGAAGAAAATACCTGTAAATTTGCCACCTCCCTTTCACCCTCTCATTCCACCCTTTCTCCCCTCCCTACCTTAAGATGAAATGATCTGGGACAAACTAATTGAGAAAACTAGTAGTGCATGCCTTCGGGAGGTTTTATTAATGGAACCAGACACACTGCTATAACAGAATGTACGACTGCTCTTTTACATTGATCTAATTAGAACATTTACATACTGAATGCCTCCTGGACAATTCCCTACCAATGACACTTACTGTGTGCACCAGGCAAGACTACTCTTTAGGTGAAATTGAACAAAGAAGTCATCAAGTCTCCTTTTTCTCTAGGAAAAATAACATTGTCAAGGTTATTAACAGTCAATAAGCTGTCATAGGCTCAGCATGGATGGGGATATTGGGTTTCCTTGTGCTTATATGAAAGATGGGAAAATCCGAAGTTCTTTTCACCCTGATATGGAAAATACCCAACATGAGGAGAAGCAGCAGCTATATGATTCTGAGCATAGAATGGGAGTAAGAATAGGGTCATGCTGTACTGATTATCTGCTAATAAAATGCAAAAGTGTTAGGTAATTTCATCAATATCCAGTTAATACTAATATAGTTAATATTTCATGACTGGGTAATATTTTATAATGATAAATATTTTTATAGATCTTAGCTCTTTTTATTCTCATATCAACTGTATGAAATCAGTGATTGGTTTTACAGATGAGATATGGGAAATGGAACACATGGCCAAAGTCACTCACGGCATTAGAGGTGGAACAGGGCCAGAAAAACTCCCAGTTCAAGCTCTCTTTCATATATATATATGTGGAAAAAATATTTTCCATGTTTGATGTCTCCACCATTTTTAACACATTCCTCCTAGGAACCCGGCCACTCACCCTCTTCCCCCCACCAAAAAACAAACAAACAATTTTTTGTAATGTTCTTCATTGTCTGAGCTTCCATGAGGTGGGAGATGGAATCTTTGTATAAATTTAGTACAACATAGTATTTACAACACATTGATTGGTGGTTCATAATAGGGGTTATCTGGAAAGGGACCCAAAGAAAAAACACAAATTTTTTCAGAACCCCCCATCTCAAAGGGAAATTAAATTAAAAGCCACTATTTAGATACTATCCTGAAGGGAACTGCTTCTATGTCCCAGTTTTAGACAAGATTTCAAGGTTCTATAAAGTTCAGAAATATGGTGATATGAGTAAAAATAGATACTTGCATAAACTAATACATGCAATGCTAAAAAGGGAAAATAATTATACATTTCTTTGCCTTCTCTCTACATTCTGTTTTATTCTCTTCTTTAGTCCTCATCTCTATTCACAAAAGATAGGAAGCTAACCCACTTAGAATGCGATTAAGTTAAAATTTTTCATAAAATGATTGAAGCACAACCTCATATCCCTAAACTAAAGAAATATCAAGCATCTTCTCTGAAAAAAAAAAAAAAACCCAGCTCACATTCAAAAGAGAGATCACAAGAAAGATATTTCCCTAGTCAAAAGGCATTAGTATGCAAAATATATTAAGTACTGGAATCACATTAAAGAGATGGAAGACCTGATCAAAACAAGGCCATTTATATTGTTGACCAACAGCTGAACGAACATTGTTTCTGACCATGATGAGCTTTTTATGGATAGTCAATGCTCACAATGTTGGAGAAACAGATCGTTCAGACACAAGCCAGACATTTACAGAGAAGTCATTCATCCCAGATGCTCTTATTTTCCTATTGAAAATTTTTCACCAGTAGCTCAATAATTATGCTGTTGCATATACTCTGCAAGCTAGACATATGCGTTTCTTTATGAGACCTTGAGGCCTTGTCTGGGCAGCACATTCAGTTGGCTTCTAGCCTAATGACCTAGTTGTAGAGACTCCATTCCACTCGTCTCTCCAGCTTTGTTCAGGCTCAAGGAAGTGCAGCTCCTCCTACTTTCAACCCACAGAGAACCAACAACCATAGAGATGATTAAATTTTCTGTACGATTACATATGTTTATCACATTACAACTCAAATATGCAGGGAAAATGTGACTCCTTTATAACCTACTTCATACTCTTCATGAAGGCTCCAATCAATTAAGTAATGGAGGGAAAATTAAATTTAATATGGATTAAATGTAATCTGAGCCAATAATTGAAAATGGCTCTGTCTCTTAGTTTAAATCAGCCTTTGGAAGATGTTGTTAGATTTTTTCCATGCCTCCTTTGTGGCAGTCCTAAAACAGTGCCCTGGTATATGAGAGGTTTATCAAACTTCATGATACTGGTATTAATGGGATTTCTTGGACTTGCACTAGTTCTTGGACATGCAATCGCTCTCTGGAATCTTCTGTGTAATGGCTGGCTCATTCCCCTATAGGGCCATACTGTTATACTCCACAGCTAATACCTGTAGTTGATGAGCTAGTGTTAGATTTTTTCTGGGGTTGGTCATTGCTTGTTAGCCCATCCTATGGACTTGATCTCTGCTCCACGCCCCTATTATTGTTGGTGCCACAGATCCCTTTGAGTCTCTGCCACATTCTCTATCCCTCTCCTGTCCTCCATTGTCCTTCTCAGTCACTGACATGTCAAGCTCCAGGGTTGTCCACCAACCCTCGTCTTATTAATGTCGCATCATAACAAACAAAGACCCTGGAGTGAAAACCAAAATTTCTATCTGCCTGAGCCCTCTACTCTGCTGCCTTACAATGTATGGGCTGCCCCATATTGGTGCAAGGGCACCATGCCCAGTATTTTTGCATAGTTCAAAAAAAAGCAGTAGAACACAAGCCCCTCTACTCTATTTACATCTGAATCTGGCTAACTCACCTCCTCTCTATTCAGATCCTTCAGACCTCAAAGAAAGAATGTTAAAAGACACAATTCTGATAATTTTCCTCCACTAGCCCGCTCATCATCTTCCTACTAGTCCACATATCTGAAGGATAGGGGAGTGGGGTGAGGGAGGGGATCTACTTTATCTACCTAACTGAATAGAACATTCCCTTATGTCACATGTTTCTCTCTTCCAAAATGATTTCCTCTTTTAGTGGACAAAGTACTAATAAGGGAAACTGATTAATTATTAAGGACAAATAAGAAATTTTATAAAATATACTTCTTGCACAGATTTAGGAGAAATTTCAGAGGCAGAAAAAAAAAAAAAGAAAAGTTCTTTCGGAGCCAGCGTTTGACCAAAGGCCATTTGCTTTGTCTTGGAACCTTACTAAACTGCCCCATTTTACAATTGTGTCCTAAGTCTTATTATGCAAGACTGCAACAGCATGTTTTATTTTCTCTCCTATTTATTTACTCTCCTAATTATCTATACCCCTCTGCTATAAGCAATTTCTAGATATTAGGCTCAGTGTGAGCTGGTAGAATATCCTATTTTCACAACCTGTTTATTCTAGAAATTGTTTTCAAAGTTTCAAGGACAAAGTGAATACATTTCTTTTTTATAGTTCTCTTTAGTCTTTGGTGTTTGTTTGTTGTTCTGTATTTCACTTGGATAGACTAAGACCTTCATAATGTTGGGAGAGGCAGGAGACTATACAGATTCATTTTGGCTCTGTATAGTCTTTGGTTACTACTACTAACATTCTTACCAAAAGAAGAAATTGACTTAAGTATTTAGCCAACTTTAATAAAACTCCTAAAGTTTAAGTAGTCAATTTTAAATGCTTTCATTGAACAAATTTCCTCTTTTATCTTTCAACTGGACTTTTCCCCCAAACAAAAGCAGAATTTATAAACATTTTTTATTTTTACAAGAAAGAATAAGTGATCTCCTTCTCAATGTTCCACTCCAGGGCCCAGTAGCCAGAATCAAACTATCCTTGTGATATGGTTTGGCTGTGTCCTCACCCAAATCTCATCTGTAATTGTAGTTCCCATAATCCTCACATGTCTTTGGGGGAATCCTGTGGGAGGTAATTGAATCATGAGAGCGGTTACTCCCATGTTGCTGTTCTTGTGAAAGTGAGCTCTCACAAGATCTCCTGGTTTTATAAGGGACTTTTCCCCCTTTTGGTTGGCACTTCTCCTTGCTGCTGCCACGTGAAGAAGGATGTGTTTGCCTCCCCTTCCGCCATGATTGTAAGTTTTCTGAGGCTTCCCCAGCCATGCCGAACTGTGAGTCAATTAAACCTCTTTCCTTTATAAATTACCCAGTCTCAAGTATATCTTTATTAGCAGCATGAGATTGGACTAATATACCTTTTCCCTCAAGAAGAAAGTTCATCCTGGCCGGGCGCGGTGGCTCACGCCTGTAATCCCAGGACTTTGGGAGGCCGAGGCAGGTGGATCACTTGAGGTCAGGAGTTTGAGAGTAGTCTGGCCAAGATGGCAAAACCCTGTCTCTACTAAAAATACAAAAATTAGCCAGGTGTGGTAGTGGGCACCTGTAATCCCAGCTACGAGGGAGGCTGAGGCAGGAGAATCACTTGAACCTGGGAGGCGGAGGTTGCAGTGAGCCAAGATTACACCATTGCACTCTAGCTTGGGCCACAGAGCAAGACTCTGTCTCAAAAAAAAAAAAAAAAAATTCATCCTTCTCCATCCTTAGGTAGAAAGACAAAGAAGTGTTTTCTGTGTGACTTCCACAAATTATCTTCACCAGCACATGGCCTTTACTTTCAGAGAACTTTTTAACAGAGAAATCACTGAAACAATGGACGTGATTTCCATGACTCCTCTGAGTTTGCTGCTCCATCCTGTGCTCTCTCAGAACTGTTGTTGTCTATGCCATTCTTCTGATAGATTAAAAATAGCCAACCCCCTCCCCACCACCAAAAAACAATCTGCCCCACAGAGGCTATTCAATACAGCTACTTAATAAAGATAACATGTGGACAAGGTTCTGGTCTGAAAGTCCACAGGGTTTGATTGGCATAATTGACTGAAATAGCCTGTGGTGTACCCCTAGCATAACAAACTACCCCAGATCCAAAAGTTGGTATAACATGTCTGAGACCAGCATTTTATAATCTCCATCACATAGTAAGTATTAGTGTTTTCCTGACAAAGAAATAGTACTGCTGGCTAACACATTTGGCTAATGTATTAGAGATACCACATAGCAATTTTTTGTTCTTTTTAGTGTTAAACAGACTATTAAAAATCATAATGCCTCATATACTTTATATAAAAATACTACTTGTGGTCAAAACAAAACATGCCTTTCAGGTCCCAAGCATATATGCAAGCAGTGTACTCTCAAATTTGAATCCCTCTGTTGTCTAAACAGCAAAACTTATGAATAGTGAGAAGGTGGCATATACTTAACATATTTAATATTGCATTTTATAAGATGCAATACACAGATTGTCACACAAGCAATTCTAGAGAATAAATACCAAGATAGTGCTAAGATTTCATCAACGGTATGATTTAAATGAACATTGTTAAGGATTTCAGAATTAAACCTCATTTTCTTGGTAGGTTTCATGTAATACCAGTCCCAAATTTCATTCAACAATAAAAATCATTGTGAACTAATATGATAGGAAATTAGATGAGCCGTAATGTCTAGGCAAAATCATCTAAGTTTAAAATGTAATGGCATATATAAATGTATATATTACAAATATAAATGAAACAGATCACAGGGTAGTCAAAAAGTGACAGCTGCTTTAATTCGTAGGAGTTTAGACTTCCAGCCCCTCTGGAAATTATGAAATGAGGAATAACAAAAAAAAAAACTACCCCCCATTATTATCCAAGCACAAGTGGTATAAGATCATTTATCTTGATGTATGTCACCTTAGAGCACATATTATCCCTATCTCTCAAAGTGTTTTTTCCCCTTTATTTCATCTCTGACATTCATTGTAAATTTAATGATCCACATACGATTTGCTGGTGTCTCAGTCTGGTGTTTTGAATCATGAAACTAGTGCTAAATTTATGGCACTGCAGTACCACTTAGTGAATCATTAAGCAGTACAGTGATTTTAATGATTTGGATCATACTGGACCTCATCACTATATAATGAGGTTCCATTTAGTGTAAATTTTATGTAAAAATTCAATTTGCAAACCAACAACATGAAACTACAACATTTTTTCTAACTTGACATTGTATTTATTTATCACATATTTCTATTGGGTTCTACTGTTAAGTTCCTTAATAGAATAATACTTTATTCTATTTTCTTTTTATCAGCATAATATTTAAATGATCTCAAGAATGGAAGTGACCAGTAACACCTTACCCCATCTTAAACTTTTTCATTGTCAAGTTTACTCAACTCAAAGATCTCAGAAATAATTGTTAACTTGTATGTGGTTTTAATGTCTTTGATACTATGCATTCACTTTACCATTCACAACTAAATTGCTGTATAACCTATCTTTCATTCCAGGACAGATTACAAATGCAGAAAAGAAACAATGGTTTGGGCATGTCTCTCTCGCCTTTGCCATTTGATAAAAGTCCATAGCCTTTGACAATTATGCTTTTTCTTCTGAGGAGATAAAGCTTAACATTCTAAATGATATTGAGTTAAAATACCAACTATAGTTTAGCTATTTCATATCAAACAATTAGTTGATTGGGTGCTTAGTGATAACTTTTCAATTAGCAGAAAGGGAAACTGAGGGCAAGAGAGGTTAAAATATCCTGACCAAGGTTATACAGTTATTATATGATTTCAAGAAACAAATCTATGTCCCTGGACATAAGCAATTGCTCTTCCTCAAATTCATTTAAAAATTAAAGAGTAGCACAATAATATATTCATACTACGTCTGTAAAATAAATTTCTGATTTCATGTTTTATATTTCAGTTTCCTCTGCATCATTGATGAGCATGTCTGCATAGTGACCTGATTCACCCTGTACTAAATGATGGCTTTAAAAACTGAGTTCTAACAAGCATAGTAATAATAGTAAGATCATAAGGTACTCTGAAACTGAATTGTTTACAGTCTGCATGGGTAGTAAAGTATAATTTTTAAAACTAGTTCCTTGACCTAAGCACATGTTATTCAAAGGGCTAAGCCCATAGATGGAGAATGTATTTCTTGCTCATGCCGAATAATAAATGTTTAAAAAAAAAACTTAAAAAGGATTGAAGAGAAATCAAATACCTATTCTAAACAGACCCATGTTTCCAATAGAAGCAATAAGTTACGTTGTATTTTAAAGTCACAAAGAACGAGGGGGTCCAATCTCCCTAAAATTCACACTTATCTCTTAATTTACTAAGGACTGAAATAGAAAACATAAAACAATTCCTCTTCAAGATTTATTTCTATGCTTCAGGAAAACCAGTGTGTCTTATTCCAGTATGTATACTGAGAAGGTTAAAGCATGGAAAGAGCTTTTAAAATTACCTCTTCTCAGGCCGGGCCCGGTGGCTCATGCCTGTAATCACAGCACTTTGGGAGGCCGAGGAGGGCAGATCATCTGAGGACAGGCATTCGAGACCAGCCTGGTCAATGTAGGGAAACCCTGTCTCTACTAAAAATACAAAAATTAGCCAGGTGTGGTGACGCACGCTTGTAGTCCCAACTACTCGGAGACTAAGGCAGGACAATCACTTGAACCCAGGAGGCAGAGGCTGCAGTGAGCCGAGATCGTGCCACTACACTCCAGCCTAGGTGACAGAGTGAGACTCCATCTCAAAATATAAATAAATAAATAATCTTTTTTCAGATAGATGGGGTCACAAAAGCTACAAAAGACACTGACTTCCCAAAGGCTCCCAAAGAGCAGATCCTAGCTTGGGCAGTAGCTGTCACATGCCCTGGGGACTCTGACAGCTTAAGGGCTTTTAATCCTCTTTTCCTAAGCTCTGTTGTCATTTTTCATCTTGTTTGGACTCCAGCTGTTACTTTGGGAAGGGTTTATACTTGAGCATGAGAATGCGTGTGGATGAGAACAACACGGAACAACAAGTAGTGAATGGCTGGCCAGCCTAGGATTCTTTTATCTCAACTTCTCAGTGTTTCTTCCAATTTCTAACCCATGTCAAATGTTTAAATTTTACATGAATCTCACTAAATTTTTTATAATTAGTAATAATCTCCAGAATAATGACACATATTACTCTTCTGCATAACAGCTGTACTTACTCCTTTTTAAACAAGAAATAAAACTATGCAAGTAGTCAAGACGCTTAATTCAAATTTGCCACACTGATATCAAGGCATGAAACATCTCAAAATAGTATGATTCCATTGTGGTCACTCAAACATCCCAATTTAAATGGGAAGATGTTGGAGAACACACTAATTTGGATGTGGTTCAATGTGGAGTGGAACTGGAGCTAAGGCTTGAAAGGCAGATTACGTTCAGATTGTTGCAGCCAAATAGTGTTTTAAAGATGAAGTGCGTAGCTACTATGGGAAAAAATTGAGGAAGTTTGGAAAGGGATTTGTACTTAAATCCCTAAATCTCTCCAGATAGATGTCTATTTTGATCACATTTCTTTCCATGGCACCTACTCTTTCTGCCTCACTTGGTCTGTACAGCTATAGTCTGGGTGCCATGATTGAGATAAGCCTTTTAAAAACATTCTCCTTATTTTACTCTAGGGTCTTCTTCATCACCCACTTACTTGTTTAGGGGTCCCAGAGATATTTAGCAAGCAGAGTCCTTGTGAAGGGTATTTTCCGGTCAAGTGATTAAGTGGTCACTCTGCTACTATCTCAACCTAAGAGAGATGCAGGCTCAGCTGCCACATCACTGAAATTCCTGTAGAGTTGCAGCCCGAGTACCAAGGGCCCAGCCTCTGAGATGCCCTATGACCCTTCCTACCACGTCCTGCATCTTGCCAAGGGCCCAAAGAGTATGGGACATTTCTTTGTAGTAGTCTTAAGGACTCACTCCCTAACCCAGAGGCGGCCACTTCCATCTTTCTTCCTCCAAGTCTTTTTCTCTCTTCTTGTCTCCTCTGGGATATAGACTGTCACATAACATCCTTAAAGAGACTGGGCTTTCAAAAACTAAAGCCAGTGGTAAATATGGGTTAGATGCCAGAGAGAAGTTGAGCAGTATCTTCAAGAAAATAATGTTTTCTGCTCTGCAAAACAATGACCTTGAGGCAAGGAAACAAAAAGTTCTGATTACTTTCTTGGCAGAAAAGAGAAGGAAGAAAAGATGGAAATTTGGATTTGTCAATGGATAATCATCCCACCAAATAGATCAATCACAACATCATTAACTGTGGATTTACTGTCTACAGAGCTCTGTCCTCATCCCTGTGGAGCAGTAACTAATAATAATCAAACATTTACTGAGCACCTACTATGTGCCAGGTACAGTTACAACAGTCCCTGTCATTGAGTCATTCACAGTCAAATTAGGGAAGAGTCTATTTGTAATACAAGATTGTGCTGGGATAGGGACTAAAGGATTATCTATCATAGCTTAAGTGGCAGAGGGTTAATCTATAAGTACTAAGAAGTCACTGTGGAATCACTGAGTGCTTTCCATAACCCACTGATGATTGCCCTAGGAATTGGCAGCAAAATTATACTCACAATGCTACAAATGGAAAATTATTATAGAGGGAAAAGGTGGCAGGAGTAGGGTCTCCAACTGTTCCATTGCAAATTCAGGGCTCTTAAGTTAAATCCTCACTCTTGATTTATTCAGTTTCACTCTGCTTATGGAAATGCTTATATATGAGCCCATTTTCACAAGTCTCAGCAACATCTTGGTGTGACCAGCCCCTTCTGTAATTGCCATTTTTGGAAATTCATCCAAGATTTAAACAAATGTAAGAAATTAGGACCTATATTGCACACTAGAAAGCTTGATAAAAATGCATCCCTTTTAATCCTTCTCAAAAAGTTTATCCCTTGAAAAATCTCAAAACAATAATTTCACTATGTTTTAGTGAATGGATGAGTATTTGACTTCAAATATTTTAAACTTGCAATTATATCCCATTGGGTTGGTCTTTAATGCTTTTGTGAGATGAGGATCAAGGAAAGTGAAATGATATTTAAACCTCACTAATTAGGCTGCTAAGAGAAGAATCCATTAGGATGAAGAGTAGACCCTCATCACTATGCAATTCTCTGTTTTTTAACCCATGAACTCAGTTTTAAAGACAGGATCCTTCCCTCTCCCTGCCCTTTACCAAAAATTCCAAGTGTTGAAAAGTTCTATAAACATACATAAACTTAGGCTAGCAAGATTTCTTGTTAATTACATAATAGTAAAACCTCCATCTTCAAGTCTTGTGTTCACATTTCACTTCTCTGCATAGCATTTATTATAGCAATTCCTGAACTTCAGGAATTAAATTTCAGTTATTCTGGGTTTAGGACCAGGCCCTTGTCTGATTCCAGTCCCTTGCATGCAGCAAGTTGCAAGGTTAAAGTTCCCTGAAGCTAAATGGTTGAACCCCTTTGAAAAAAGAAAAAATGATCTAATTAGTCCAACATATGTAAATAGTGATCAATTAGTATTTTACAGCAAAAACAATATGTAATGTGTACAGCCTACACAACTCATTACAGTACTGCCGGACAAATTTTTAACACAGGACAGAATTCTCAATTATACAGACTTCATGAAACATGAAACTTTACTTTTTAATTTTTTTTCAAGCTTTCTAAATAAATGATGATTTAGGAAATGATGATTTAGCTATAGGAAAAATATACTTAGCTACAAACCTGAACAGTAATAATTATCCTCGGAATTTTTGTCATCTGTGGTAAGACCCTGATCTAGTTCTGGGTTAATGACAGCATTAGGCAATATGTGCTATGCAGGAGAGCCCCCAAGCCAGGCCCATCCTCAACAACTTTGGAAGTAGGAATGAGGGTCCAGGTACTCCAGGAACTCCAGATTAGGTGGCCTATCTCCTACCCTCCATATCACTCCTTCAGGACTGAAGAGGGGACCCAGAACTCCAGGGCCCTGTGGCAAGACCC